>NC_000001.11:210154283-210305799 GCF_000001405.40 Homo sapiens | reverse complement strand
TCCATCTCAAAAAAAAAAAAAAAAGAAAGAAAAAGAAAAAAAAAATAATAAGGGATGTTTTTAAAAATTAAGGTTCCATTAATAAATAAAAATTGTCTGAATGCAGCTAACAGTTTTGAATGCCACTAGCCTTCATAACATACAGATCAATAAGGATTTTCTTCTAGGCAGAAGTCCCAACGAAAATAGCATGTGTGTGTGTGTGTCTGTGTCTGTGTCTGTCTTCCTGTGTGTTTTTATTTTATGATAAAAAGGTTTAAAACTAAATAAATGATCATGTCAAACTTTTTTTTAAGTGTGCACAGTTTTCAACAAAAGAGCCAAAGAAATTTTGGAAAGATTTATGTATTCATCTTGGTCTTTACAAGTTGTAACTGTTCCTAGAGAGTGGCCTAGCAGCCAGGGTCGCCTGTGTGCAGGCTTCACCTATTATGTCAGTGCCCAGCAGGCAGGCACGTGAGGCTGAGACCAGCTCACATCTTCTCTGCTGAGCAGCCCGCCCAGGCCCTGGGCTGCATCTGTCTCTAATGTGCCCACAGGCACAAGTGACCTGTAAAAGCAGGAGACTCAAGTCTGTGAACTGGAAGATAAATGTATGCTTTCAGAATATTTCTAGACTTCTGACCTGCATCTTTTAACCAATGTTTTTTTGATTTCTTATCAAAATTAAAGCTGTGGGCCGGGCGCGGTGGCTCACACCTATAATCCCAGCACTTTGGGAGGCTGAGGTGGGTGGATCACTTGAGGTCAGGAGTTTGAGACCAGTCTGGCCAACACAGTGAAACCCCATCTCTACTAAAAATACAAAAATTAGTCAGGCGTGGTGGCGCATGGCTGTAGTCCCAGCTACTTGAGAGGCCAAGGTAGGCGGAGGTTGCAGTGAGCTGAGAGATTGTGCCACTGCATTCCAGCCTGGGCAACAGAGCAAGACTCCGTCTCAAAAAAAAAAAAAAATCAAACCTGTAGCATTTTAAACCAGATTGCAATAAAATAAGCAAGAAAAGTGTCAAACCTAGTAAGCATAATGCTGAAATCTCACATAATTCTTAAATCTCAGAGATGTTCAATTTATTATATATTTAACCACTTTTTATCAAAATGTATCACAGAATGCCACTGTGCCACCGTGATTCAGTGTGAAAGCCACATCTGCCCATCCACTGCAATGGTCCAGCCTGCAGTCTGTTTTCCGTACCAGTAAGCAAAAGTAGCAAAACTGCCACTGGCTCAACTTTTCCCAAGTAATAAATTCACTTTGCTTAGTCTTCAGAATGTTTAGCTCCTCTTGCTAATCTATCAGCTTCTTCATTGCCAATACACCCTGGATGACCAGGAACAAGTATCCACTGAATGTCCATGCCTTGACTGAGCTTCTCCAGTGCCACAAAGTCCTTTTTGTTCATCACCTATTTCCCTGTACTTGTCTTCCACCTGTTCTTCTTCCTACCTTGAACCCAGTTAGTTATACCATTTATAGCAAACATACTATCTGTGTACAGAACCAATTTATTGATGTTTTCAGCCTTTGCTTGTTCAATGGTGTTGCAGGCTGCATGATTTTCTGCTCTTTGGTTTGTCTGTCACCCAGGAAGTCTAATGCCTACATTTAAAGGATGGCCTGGCCCCCAGTAAACGTCAGTTCCCACTAGTGCTCTCCTCCACCCATTACTGGAGCAGTAGCCATCAGTGTAGACGACGACAAAGCCTCCGATGTAAGAAAATGTCTCTGCTCACTCGAGGTGCCGGCTCTATGATTTGCTTCACAGGCTTTGCACAAGACTCTGCACTTTCATCTCCATCTCCATTCAGTGGCTCACAGAGTCCCTTGCTGGCTTTCATTTGTGATTCTTGTACATGTTTATTTTTCTGCCCTTCTGAACCTTCTGGGCTTGCAGATTTCCTGACAAAGGCCCAGGCCTCATTTTCTGTGGCAAACTTCTTAAATCTGGCAGCAGGAAATAGGTCCACCTATGCTCTATATTCATTCCAGGTCAGAAAGACCCCAGTCCTGCAGGCCCTCCCCACAGCATAGACCATCCTGAGGCTGCAGCAGTCCCTGTGGCAGCGCACAGCTATCAAGGTGACTCTGTGGGCCAGGGACAGAAGCTGGCACATGGCTCACTCTCACCTCACATCAGTGTGACCCCAACAGTGCCCACTGAAAATAGCTTCAGTAAAAGTACACTCTGAGGCCGGACACGGTGGCTCATGCCTGTAATTCCAGCACTTTAGCGGGTGGAGGCGGGTGGGTCGCCTGAGTCCAGGAGTTCGGGACCAGCCTGGGGAACATAGCAAAACCCCATCTCTACTAAAAAGATTACAAAAAATTAGCTGAGCATGGTGGCCTGCACCTGTGGAGGCTGAGGTGGGAGAATCACCTGAGCCCGGGAGGTCCAGGCTGCAGTGAGCCCAGATTGTGCCACTGCACTCCAGCCTGGGTGACAGGAGTGAGAGCCTATCTTAAAAAAAAAAAGTACACTCTTAGGCATAACTAAAGACTTGGCTAATTATTTTTCTCTATGGTCAGTTGGACCATTTGCAAGAACCAACCCATTTGCGTAGCTGTGTCTGATAAGACCGGCCTGCTCCAGGGCAGAACATTCTTTTGAGGACCAAAGCTAGCCAGATCAATGCATTTGAAAAAGGCCTTGTCATAAATCTATCAAATCTCCTATTCCTTGAGCTAGGCTGTGGAGAAAAAACAAAACATGTGATCTTCTAGAATGTTCTTGAGAACTTTACTTTGAAAGGTAGATAACATTCTCTGAAAGCCTCTGCACTTGATAAGATTATTTCGTTCAGCACAGATCATAGCTATAAGGAGCTATTCCAAAAGGGGTTAGCATTACCTAGAATTCCAGATTGAAGCCAATTGCACTACAGGCTGGGGGGAGGGGATATCATGAATCAGAACATACGGACCAGACACAGCCCTTCCCTGAGCAGCCATAGACAAGTCCAAGGGACGTGGCATAACTGCCGCCTGTTTCCAAGCAGGCAAAGTTGTCCAGAAGAGTCTGATCAGAAGGGGCCAAATGGGAATCCAGTTTCATGAGTTCTTGGCAGCAACGGTGCTCGCCATTAGGGGTAGACTGAAATGCTAACGGGAACCAGCCAGCTCCATGTGAGGCGTGAGACCGGGATTAGGCCCAAGTCCTGGGAAACTGAGCTGGCAGCAAACAGCTAGGCGGCTGGAACACAGGCTAGGTCTACCTCGGATGCCAAAGACCAGGACAGAAGGGACCTAGCAGAGATCCTGGCTACTTGTGTACCTGGCAGCCAGCTTTGAGGCCATGTTCTTAGTGCTCTAGCTGCAGATAAAAAGCAGCAGCAGAGGGTCTTCATTTCCCATTCTTGATGGGAGAGAAATGCAACCTCTAGCTTGGGCTTCCAAAGCCCATTCTAAGCTCTAGCCAGGACAGGGAGGAACAGGGCTGGGGATCATTGCACGGCAAAAGGTGATGGTAGACCTAGGAAATCTTGAGTTTTAGAGTGGCCAACTTGGGCAGGGATACTCACAGATTAGGTATACTTCTTGGTAGACCACCACCAAAGCCCCTGATTCCACATCGATATCTTGAAAATGTGCTTTTACTGAGAAACCAAGATCAACTTTTCTCTGGCTGAATGGATGTAAGTTAATTCTACATTCAACATAGATTTTAAAAAACCACACACATCCTCAGAAGAATGTTTAAGTCCTTTGGAGAAGCATGAGGAGGTAGCTTTCCCATTTTCCCCCATAAGCGGACCACATCTTTGCTTTTGTGCATTTTCTTCAGATGCTGGGAACCAGGCCCAAAAACTGTTGAAAAGGGGTTTTCTAATGTAAAACAAATTCAGGTTCACATTTAGAGAATACTAAATGCAAGTGTGCAAGATCACGTCACCGCTTCGCTCTTACTTTGTATCAGTCCAAAAAGCAAATATCCAGAAGCTGCTTCCAAGTCCTGACTCTACACGCAAGTTGTTGTCTGGAACCAGTTTCCACCATGCCACATAACCTCCTGGATGATTAGCAAAAATCGCTTTCCACTTACTACTTGCAGCTGTTTGGAATTCCACATTGCTGCTCTGCTGAGTAGCAGAGCCTAACTGGGCGAGCTGTACAGTAAACACATGAATCTCTGCCAGCGTTGGCATCTAACAGCACCATGATTTGCAAACATGTTGAATTGCTATTTTATTCAATAAACGAACTTACAATAGAAAATAGATTTGGAAGTTACATCAAACTTGTTTATCCTGTTACAGTGGGCTGGGTAAAGCTATTGTGCTTTGGTTATAAAGAAATCCCTGTCGGGAAGCAGCAGGCGGAGTCTCTGCTATTCTTTCCTAGGCTAATATTAAGCACTCGGAGTATACCTAGGTCACACTGACTCACTCTACATGGAGGGACACCCCCTCCTTTTAAGATCTCTTTTCCCCAGCACTAACTCCATAGTTTGGGTCAATGAATACTAATTATGCTGTCTCTTAGTCTCAGTGTTATTCACCAAATGCTACTTTTCCCTATGTGTTCCCAGAAAAAATATATTAATATATAATATTTGGTGGAAATGTATGTGTATATATGTGCACATATGTACATGTGTAAATGTATATATGTATGTGTCTATGCGTGCATGTGTGTGTGTAAATTTCCTCATGTCAGGGCTGTGCCTTCATCAGCTGAGAGCTCTCCAAGGGCAGCAGGCTGGGTCTCCTCTGTCAGTATCAGATGGTCCTGAAATGATTCTCACCCCTACCCCTATCCCCATCAGTCAAGAGACACCCTCTATCCTAGGACTGGGAGTTCCTTGACCCTTGTGGGGAGCAGAAGGGGCAGTACCTTCTGCATGTGACTGAATGAAGGGAAGGCAGTAAGCTCACAGCAGAACAACACAGGATGAGGAAGAAAACTCTCAAAGATTTGCCCAGATAATAACAGCACTTACTTTGCCAGCTTCTTCCATCTGAGCAAATGGGTGTGGTCATTATAAGAAGGCGACTATTTCCCCCAAGTAAATAGGGTATGCTATTTGGTGAAAACGGAAATTGTAGGAGAAAGTGTCTCATTTCTGCAGTTTGAAAGCAGCTAATCTCTGTAGTCTGGGTGTCTATTTACACTGCTTTTCAGCAATAAAGGGTAACATTACCTTAATAACCTGCTCATCTGAGGCAGGGAGGATACTTAAGGCATCAGAGAGAGAGGCATTTACTCTGATGAGCCACTTTCCCCAAACAGCACAAAATCGACAGCATTCGCCCAGGAGATTTTTTTTTTCTGGATTTCTAAAAATATTTCCTGGTTATGGCATGTGATCTAAGACACAGGCACCCTCGGCTCACTCTTCTGCAGCACCTCAACTTCCCCACTGCCATCCCTGCCAGACAGGGAGGAAAGGAGAAAATCAGTCGAGCACTGGACTTTGAAAGAAGAAAGTTTTGCCAGTTAAAACCTCAACTAAGGCCAGGCATGGTGGCTCACGCCCATACTCCCAGCACTCTGGGGGGCCAAGGCAAGTGGATCACTTGAGCCCCGGAGTTCAAGACTAGCCTGGCCAACATGGTAAAACCCCATCTCTACCAAAAATACAAAAAGTAGCCAGGTGTAATGGCATGTTTCTGTGGTCCCAGCTACTCAGGAGGCTGAGGTGGGAGGATCGCTTGAGCCCTGGAGGTGCAGGCTGCGGTGAGCCAAGATCACGCCACTGCACTCCAGCCTGGGTGACAGAGTTAGACCCTATTTCAAAAAAGAAAGAAAGAAAAAAAAACTGAGTAATTGTGAGGCAGAAAATGGTTTTGTAATTTGATTTCGGTGCTCCCAGAAACACCTCTGGGAAAGGGGTTCACGCATGGGAGAATATCAGCTCTGCTTCCCAGCTAGGAAGGCTGTTTTCTCCCTTTTTCTTTTTTCAAGGAGACCTCTGGACATTTCTGACCTAGGCGCTGCCCTCTTTTAGGTAACTGGAGCACTTATTTCAAAATGGCCTTTTTTTGACACCTCTTCAAAAGCTGCCGGATGACAAGCCGCACCCACTCCCACACCCACAGCTACAGGGCATTGTTCTTGGTCCCAGCCAGCTTGGAAACCTCTCGTCTCAACTTGCATTTAAAAAGGATCTGAGGACAGATTCAGGGAAGAGTTTTTTCTTTTTTTTTTTCGTAGATATGGCCTGAGGCATACAATGTTTTTTTTTTTTGTCATCAACAACTAGTACTTACAATGCAAGCAGATGCCTTTTCTTTGACTGAAAAAGCTTAGTTGGGCAGTATGGCAGTGATGTGGACTGGGAGTCTGCACACACAGTAAACTCATTGATTCAGGCTCAGCTAAATCAAAATTTGATCAGTTTGACCTTTGAAGAAAGGGTTGGGTCTTTTTACTTTTTTTTTTAACCTGTTTTAAAAAAAAAAGGTAATTGAAAGGGTAGTTAAGACCAGAGAAGGCACGTTCAATCTATTTGGCATGCTTCTAAGTACCCAAGGATATTACCAGCATGGGAATAGATGTTGCTTTGTACAAAACAGTCTTATCTGTTCATTAACCAGTTTCCACAAAACCATAAAACTGCCTCTGAAAAATCCTATGAACAGTTATCTCAAATGTGATCATGAAACTAAAAATACTTGAAATAGACTCAGTCTTTACAATGATTTTGTAACAGGCTGTGATGAGATGGAAAAGTTTAGGTTGTGGCTTTGGAATTCTTGGGTTCAAATCTTGGCTTACTCACTAAGAAATATTAGATAAATTGCTTAACCTCTCAGAACCTGAGCTTCCTCCTTATTTGTAAGAAGATTCTTCATTCCAAAGAGTAAATGGAATATTGCTTATAAAAGTGTTACTGATACAGACAGGAGGCAGGGAAATACTGGGTAGAAGAGGGTGGTTACCCGGCAAAGGCTGGAAACCATGGCCCTAAATGAGAACAGTTATCCCTGACCTCCTGCCCAAGTGTTTTCCAAAACCACCCTGGCCCACTACGTCCCCCATTCTGTACCCTTAAAAACCTCAAATGCCAGGCTCCACAAGCAGAAGAGCAGCAGAGCAGCACAGCAGAGACGGCGAGAACAGACAAAGCATCTGAATGTCGAGAGCTCAGCTGGGAGCAGTTGGAGAGGAGGCATCCTGGCGGCAGGATGCCTAAACTCCAGGGGAAGATCATCTTCCCATTCCATCCCCTCCCCAGCTCCCCATCCCACTGAGTGCCACCTCTATCACTCAATAAAATTCCCGCATTCACCATCCTTCAAGTCTGTGTGACCTGATTCTTCCTGGACACTGGACAAGAATTCGGGATGCACTGGATGCAGGAAGCCAAAAAGGCTGTCATACTGACTCTTCACTCAGCTGTTTAACAATTAAGTCATCCCCATATGGCAGGGCTAAAACAGCATTGTAACACCCCTAGACGCTGCTGTGGGGCTGGAGCCCAAAAGCGCTCACCCCAGCTCCTGCACCTGCTCACCTGCAGGCTCCCGCTACCTTAAGGGATTTGAGTATTTGGGGGGGCCGAATAAATGAGCCACACCCCTATTGCACATCCTGCAAAGGGGTCAGGGAACTCTCTCATTTCATTACCGGAAAGGAGTCCTGATCCAGACCCCAAGAGAGGATTCTTGGATCTCACGCAAGAAAGAATTTGAGGTAAGTCCACAGAGCAAAGTGAAAGCAAGTTTATCAGGAAAGTAAAGGAATAAAAGAATGGCTACTCCACAGGGAGAGCAGCCCTGAGGGCTGCTGGTTAACCATTTTTATGGTTATTTCTTGATGATATGCTAAACAAGGGGTGGATTATTCATGCCTCCCTTTAGACCATATAGGGTAACCTCCTGATGTTGCCATGGCATTTGTAAACTGTCATGGCACTGGTGGGAGTGTAGCAGTGAGGACAACCAGAGGTCACTCTTGTCACCATCTTGGTTTTGGTGGGTTTTAACTGGCTTCTTTACTGCAGCCTGTTTTATCAACAAAGTCTGTATGACCTATATCTTGTGCTGACCTCCTATCTCATCCTGTGACTTAGAATGCCTTAACTCTCTGGGAATGCAGCCGAGTAGATCTCAGCCTCATTTTACCCAACTCCTATTCAAAATGGAGTTGCTCTGGTTCAAAAGCCTCTGACAAAAGCATTTTGTAAACTTTAAAGTGCTATATAAATGTACTTTGTTGTAAAAACCCTGTTATTAGATTATAAGACCTTAGAATCTGAATTTCTTGAGTGGAGCCCAGGAATCTGTATTTTTAAACACAATTCCTTAAGTGTTATGCAATTAGGCTTGGGAACCATGTTGGTGTTGTCCCTGGATCAGCACCACCTGCACCACATGGGAACTTATTAAAAATGTACATTCTCAGCCATGCCAGACCTTTGGAATCAGAAACTCTGGGGCAGGGTCCTGCAGTCAACATTTTAACAAGTCTTGCCAGTGATTCTGAGCCAAGCCAATTACTGAGAACTACTGATCTAGAACACAACGTCTCATTCTACAGCATTCATACAAATCACCTGGAGGTCTTGTTAAAATGCCTGGGATGTGGGGCAGGAAAGGGTTAGGAGACTGTGTACTTTTGAAGGAGATTTCAAGTGATGCTAATTTTGTCAAGCACATTTTAAGTAAGGAAGACCTGAAAGACACCAGGCATCCTTCAGAAGATGCGGTTCAGACCCTTCTGGGCCACCTCAGGCCAACATCTGACAAGAGTGCAGAGGGAGAGAATTTCTCACCCTACACTCATCCCCTTGACTTGAGTGTATCTGTTTGAAGGGTTAAAAGGTGTGGATTGGGAAGACAATCAATCGGATGCTGGGGCCCTGTCTGAGCTGCTCATTTATGTGGTTGGGAAAGGAAGTGACAGCAACTCCTGAACCCTGGTATCACAGCGATGGCTTTGTGGAGGGTCATTGTAGGGTAAACGCACCTGTCAGCATTAAGTTTAGCATATCCTCAGAATGACCCTGTATGGCAGATGCACCAGAATGTGTGTTCTGAGCTAGGGAATCTGGGAGTAGCCAACCAGGAGATTCATTCCTTGTCTATGCAGAACATCTGAGTCCCTGGCCCATCCTATGGGACATGGTGGTACAGGGGATTAAGGCCCTGAGTTTTGGGGCTAAATGAACTCTGCTGGGTGAAAGCTGTTAGGGGGAGGGTGTTAAGTGAAAATGCTATACAAACTGCATGAGATTTGGAGGCCATTGCAGTTTTCCTGCCCAGCCCACTGCCACTAGGCCACTCGATTATGTTGTCCGGCCCGATGTCCCCCTGTATGGAAGCCTCTAATAAAACCCCATGTCTCATTTGCTGGCTCTGGGTCTCATCTTCAGCCTCTTGAACTTGGTGCCTTACTCACTGGGGTTAATAGGGGTTTCATACAACTGTCACCCAGCCCTGGAAGAATCTGACTCAGTGTCTTCTCTGGTCTTTTTACCAGGATGTTTCATTTGTTTGTTTTTGAGACAGGGTCTCACTCTGTCACCCAGTCTGGAGTGCAGTGGTACAATCTCAGCTCACTGCAGCCTCAACCTCCTAGGCTCAAGCCATCCTCCCACTTCAGCCTCCCAGTTCAGACTACTGGCTAATTTTTGTATTTTTTGGAGAGACAGGGTTTCACCATGTTGCCCAGGCTAGTCTTGAACTCCTGAGCACAAGCAATCCTCTTGCGTCAGCCTCCGAAAGTGCTGGGATTACAGGTGTGAGCCAACGCAGCCAGCCACAGGATGAGTTTTTGATAGGAAGAAGGGAGAAGAAGAGCTGGTTCAGAATTCCCCCAAAATGATTTTTTTTAACCCCACGACCGATCCCCTCTCATTTCTGTCTTTCCAAAGGGAGCCTACGTCTGGGGAAAATGTGGCCAGAGAAGACTTTGATTTCAGACCCACAAGGGTATTTCCAGCAATAGAAAACACAGACACTATATTCAAATGAAGAAAAGCATTTGGAAGCGCCTCTGCCCCACCCATCCCTGATTCCCAGGCCCCTGTGCCAACCTCAGTGACATGGCCCTTGTCAGAGGACAGGGTGTTGAGAGGTTCTCCTTGAAGGGGAGAAGCATCTTTCTGGGATTTAATGAGATCACTTATTGTCTCTTTGCTCTGACAAAGATAGTAAACGTGACGGGTGAAATATAAAGAATAATTAGTCCCAGAGGTGAATCTGTCCCCTACAAGACATCTTTTCTTCCCCCTCAGCCTGCTGAAAAGTTTACTGCTTCCAGATGTGCCCGATTTCAACAGTAAGAGGAGCCAGTTCCTTTTGAGCTGCAAACTTGTCAGAGAAAAGCTGGTTTCTGAGAAAAGGCTTAAACTGAAGAGATGATTCCTAAAGAAAGCATTGACGTCGGGGAGGAAATACGACCATAGTAAAGCATTGCTGGTCTCTCCTGGGGTCTCAACCCCAAGGAGGAGGTGGAGGAAGGCCTAGGTCAGCCCCCATCATGGTAGCGACTTCTCACTAATTAGCTGTTAAGGAATCCACCAGCCTCTGAAGGAGACATCTGTGAGGAACGCTTTCCTCAGATCCTGCCAGTGCTCCTGCAAAGCCAGCAAGCCCCAGCCCAGCCGGGGACTTCCTGCTTTCCCAGAGCTCAGGACAGGCCTCAGCCACTGTCTGGAGAGGCTGCTGGAGCCCACACATCAGTCTTTGATAAACACTAGCCACTCCCTCTTAGAAACATAAGCTGTTTAGTCTCTGCCAGTTGCCTGGTAGCTAGGAGCGAATCCTAAGAGCTATGTGCCCCCAGGGACTGACTGTATGACCCAGCCTTGTGACTTCAGATGGAAGAAAAGCTAATATCATGCAGGAGAGCACCTTTTTCTCTCATGTCCAATCTCTGAGGCTCTCTGCGTTGAAAAGTACCCCGGAGGTGGGCCTGCCCTGAGGAGAAAAGTAGGTGGGAAGGCATGGCCAGATATTCCACATGTGGGGCTCAGGAGGCTAGGGCAGTGTTGCCCCAAAGCCTGGGATCTCTCCTTGGCAAGAGGGACTAGAATCCTGGTAGGATAAATGCCCGTCTGTGAAGAGGAACTACTGAGAGGGGCCTATAGAGGAAGGTGGGCTTTACACTACCTACCTGCCTGGGTATGAGCAGAGGGAGTGGAGATAGAGGGCTGATGGTGCAGAGGGCAGACCTGACGTACGGGAAGCACAGTCCTGACAGATCCTGCAGGGAGGGCTACAACAGCAACCCCATGTGATTGCAAGAGGATTGGGAGGACGCTGAGTTTATGAAAGCTATTTCTCTCCTCCTTCCCCCCACCCTCACTCATTACACTCTTCTCTCGGTTGTCTCTTTGCTGTGGCTCCTCACACGTCATAGACATGCCCCTGTGTCTTTGTTTGGGCTACCCTAAAAGCAGATCCTGAGCTGGGAGACAAGCAGGGCTGACATCCATTAGGCACAGTGCCGAGGGCCCACAGTGCTTTTGGGGGCCCATGGAAATGTTTTAATTTCTTTGTAGAAACAAAACAATATATAATATTTTTAGATTAAGAAATGCTTTAGTACTGGCTGGGCACGGTGGCTCAAGCCTGTATGGGAAGCCAAGGTGGGTAGATCACTTGAGGCCAGGAGTTCGAGAGCAGCCTGGCCAACATGGTGAAACCCCGTCTCTACAAAAAATACAAAAATTAGCCAGGCATGGTGGCAGGTGCCTGTAATCCCAGCTACTCAGGAGGCTGAGGCAGGAGAATCGCTTGAACCCAGTGGGCAGAGGTTTCAGTGAGCCAAGATCGTGCCACTGCACTCCAGCCTGGGCCACAGAGCAAGACTCCATTTCAAAAAAAAAAATGCTTTACTACATAATATTATTATGTTCATCTTTATACAAATGCAGCCATAAAATATTTTTGTATTTTTTAATTTTTGTTTTTGATGAAGGGCTCATGGCCGCGAAGGCCAAAATGCCTAAAACCCACAAAAGTTACAATGTAGCCCTAGGTACAAGAACTGTGTTAAGTGCTTTATATAGTACACGTTATATAAGTCCTCATAATGGTCCTGTTGTTCCCCTCATGTAACAGGCAAAGAAACTGAGGCTTAGAGAGGTTGAGTCACTTACTCAAGGCCCCATCTAATGGGTTGGGGAGTTGGAATTCCAGCTACCTCTTGCCTGACTCCATAGTTCTTGTTCTTCCCCATGGTCTGCAGAAACCTGAAGGACTTGGCGGCAGGAAAAATTTGGTGGGGAACATGTGTCTTCTCTCTTGCCTGCTCTGATTTCTCAGGAGCAGGACCCAGGAGGGCATCCGAGCCTCTGGCAGCTGAACCTCTGCAAACAGCAGTCACAGTGCATTTCTGCAGGCTCTTGGAGCTGCTCCCTCTGCCTCGGCCAGATGCGAATTTGTGGCTTTTCCTTCTTGGCTCCTTTCCCCAGGTTTTCATTCCTTTTATTCTGGGATGGAGCTGAAATTTTTCCAACAGGGCCCATGGTGGACACCCAGAAGTCAGTAGGGACTCCAAAAGGAAGTTAAGGCCGGGGAAGGGGGCCAGGAAGAGGGAGACCAGCCTAAAGTACACAACACTCAATTCTTCATTACTCACATGTGGCCTGACCGCTGGTGGACTGGCTCCAGGAAAATCTGAACCCTGGGCTGAGCCTCCCCGCCGGCTGGCCAGGACAGACCTGGATGCCCTCCACCCTCCAGCCAAACTTATTTTTTTCATATCATAGCTGCAGAATATTCGGACCCTCTAGTCCCAGCCGCCCAGTGAACTTGAGCTGTGTGACCTTGAGCAAAAGGCAAAATGTTTCTGATTTTCAGTCCCCTCATCTGGAAAAGGAGGAGGCTGTGGGACATGATGATCTTTGAAAGTCTAATAATGAAACAAACAGAAAACCTGTGCTTCTAAGTTGGTGAGTCTGGAAAGGTACGTCTGTTGCTTAGGAAAAAAAGTCCCAAATCCCAAAGAGCCCCTTTTGGCAAGTGTTGTACTTAAGACAATCCGGGCGCTGCCCCTCCTGAGGCGGGGGGGACTCGAGGACCGGCTTTAGCAGAAGTTCCTCCCGCAGAACAACTCGGACGACGACGCCTCGGAGGATCCGGGGAGCTTTGGAGGAGGCGATGGCGGAGCAGGGCGGGTGGCAGCGCAGGCGTGGGAGGGACAGGTGGCCCGTTCGCGTCAAGTCAGGGCGCCCCCTCCTGGGACACCTGTGCCCCGCCTAGTCCCAGGGCCCAGTCCCGGGGCAGACACTGGCCGAGCCCGGAGCCTCTTCGCGTCCCCTCCCACCCAGACCAGGCCGGCGTTTCCCCCGGGCCCCCGCGCGGCTCCGGCCCGCGGAAGTCGCGCGTTCTTTCTTTCCCCCTCGTTAGTCGAGCTGAAACCTGATCGTGGAAAGTCTGGGGCGGGTGTCAGACCCGGCCAGCTCTGGCTCCCAGCGCCTGGGGCGATTCCTGCTGGAGGAACCCGGGCGGGGCCCGCCAAGGGGGCAGGAGGTCGGACACCTCGGGAACAGGCCTCTTTGTCTCTGTGCGGGTGAGGGGCTGGCAAAGCGGGAGAGGGAGTTAATTGCAGGGGCGGGGAGTGGTGGGGGGGCTGGGTAAGCCGAATGACACCTGACAGCTCTGCGAGAGCCCCCCAACCCCCGCCGCTGGGGGGTGGTCCTCCTAATCCCCTTCGCAAGAGGAAGCTAATTGCTGCAGCCAGAGAAGGCAGGATAAAAGCGAGCGGGCACCCACACCCACCAGGCCCGGAGTCTTGCTATTTGCTGCTAAATTAATATATTACCTAATGCAGAAACCACGTTAAGAACTCCAGCTTTCGGCTCCAACAGGAGCTTCTGATGGGTTAAAGGCAACATCTTGCTTTAATTCCCCCCTTTTTCCCATCCTCCCCCCACTCCCCACCACCACCAACTACAAATGTCAGAAATAAATTATTGAAACCAGATGTAAGGTTTTTGGGTGCACATTTTCAGGCAGTTGTGCGCTAACAGATGCCTTGTATTAATAATGTACAGTTGTGACAGGAAATATGGTTTAGAGTCCTGGAAAAACATGAAAGCTAATTCCATTACCCCTTTTCATGGTACCCAGTTCTTCTCAAATGTTCAACTGGTTTGGATTACAGTGAAATTCTAGAGGAAAAACGATTTGGTCTGAGATGGTAACTTGGTTCTGCTTTCCAGCTTCTCCCGTGGAACAGCACCCACCTTCCTAGGCACCTGCAGACCTGTGTTCTATATACGTGCAAATAGCCAGAGATGAGGACATCTGGACCTGGTGCCTCCCCAGGGAAGTGGCTTCCAAATATTCCCCCCTTTCCTGGTCATGAGGACCTGGTAGACAGTAAAAGCAGGGCCAATGATCCCAGCTTCATATTCTTGTCTGGGACAGTCCATTTTAACCTGGCCTACCCACTCACACTTCACTTGGAGCAAAAGTAAAAACAATAAAACACTTTTATGCTCGAGGAACCAGATAAATCCTAGTAATTGATCTCAGGAGAGGGATTATTAAGGGGCTAAGTGCAATGCTTTCCAGAACCGGGGGTGTAATAAGCATGAAGCCAAACAAATGCGCAATTTGTTATCTGTATTTCATCACTTAATGCATTGCAAGCAACGGGTTTGAAAATGGCTTTTCTCCAGGAGGGGAGAAGGCACTAAAATAGCTGTAACACATCCATTGACAGTTCTGTTGCTGAAAAATGTCATCATTCTCCATGGCTCACACTGTCAGCCGTGCTCAGAAGGGTCAGAATATTCCCACTCTGCCATTTTTGGGGACAGATTCCCCTCCACTTTAGCCAATGTACAATGCTAAAAGAGACAACTCTCAAGGTCTTTCCCGCTGTAACCCTACACTTACGAAGAAATAACAAAGTAACCAGCAAGGATATCGAACTGCCCTGGACCCATAGATAAGAAAGGCTTTCCCTGTCCTAGACAAGAGTGAAGAAGGAAAGATATCAAAGATATCTACCGGTTCAGTTGGGTGAGACCTAAGAATTACAGCATCCAAAATAATAGCTAATCTTTATCAAGATCCTACTATCCTATCTGCTCTTACACCTGTGGCATCTAATCTTAACAATACCTGAGAAGGCAGGTGCCGTGCAATTATATCCTTGGTTATAGATGAGGAAACTGGGTTTTAGGGATGCTGGGTAATCTGCTGAAGGTTGCAGAGTTACTGGCAGAGCCAGCACTCACAATTTAATCTATTTAATTTTAAAGACTTTTAACAACCTCAACTATCATTTATTCTAATAGGTAAGGAAAGTATGCTATGAATTATGGGTAAATCCACACTGTGTCATTCTCTTAACGAAACTTTTTTTTTTTTTCAGGCTTGGTGTACAGTTGATGTCTAGAATATATTAACAGAAGGCTGCCCTGTAGAAGTTTTGAGTTAATGGTTTCCATCAACGCAGGAGTGGAAGAAGCTACTGGGGATCAGGAATCAGAAGTCCTGGCTTTAAGCCCTAGCTTTAGCCCTCACTGGTAATAAAATCAAAGCAATTGGTCTCTTTGACTTCAGTTTCTCCACTTTTAAGGTTGACCTGATAATACTTGCCCTGCTTGTGAAGAGCATGTGAAATAATAGCTATTCAAATTTTTACAAAGCACCAAGCAAATAGCTGTGTGACCTTGGGCATGTTCTTTTACTTTTCTGATCCTTATTTATCTTAACTGTGGGATTGAATGAAAGAGCATCCAACTTCACCTCCTGCTCTGAAACTGTACATTTCAAAGATGGGTGTTATGGCATAGTTTGTTGGAGCAAAAGCCAGGAAACAGAGGGTTGCCTCCCAAGAGGGAAAAGCTGAACACATTATTACACGTCCACACCATGGCATAGTATGTAACCAATGAACATGGAAAATCAGAGTATGCCAGATAGCTTGGAGGAGTTTCTATGAGGTGGTGTTGAGATGAGGAGAGAAAAGATGTATAAATGATCCCACATTGTAAAACAATAAACAGCATTCCCCTGGGTATGTGTATAGGTATATATTCTATACAGAATTACATAAAAAAAAAGTATACTCCATATTCAAGGTGTTATGGTGGGAAGAAAATGGGGCGAGGGCTGACCATAGAAAAGGAAATGGGGAGAAAAGACTGCATTCAAAAATAATAAGACAACATGTATTTGCTCAATGCATGTGTTTGTGTAAAGATCTATATTGTGAATACGTGCTACTTTTTTTTTTAACAGGAATTACAGGAATTACACCCCCCAGAAGTTCTATTTTTTTAAATATGAACCAGGCATTTTTATTAAAAATAACTAAATTTTTTTCGTTTAGACCTGTATCTTGGTGCAAGAGAGTACTCACATACATAAGAATCGACCTGCTGCTATGCCCCTCACCTGTTGACTGTATGTCAATGAGAAGTTCCCCCGTGTAGGCTGGGCCCAGTGGCTCATGCCTGTAATCCCAGCACTTTGGGATGCCAAAGTGGGAGAATCGCTTGAGGCCAGGAGTTTGAGACCAGCCTAGGCAACATAGTGAGACATTGTCTCTATAAAAAATGAACAAAATTAGCTGGGCATGGTGGTGCATGCCTGTAATCCCAGTACTCAGGAGGCTGAGGCAGGAGGATCACTTGAGCCCTGAAGGTGGAGGCTGCAGTGAGCCATGATCGCACCACTGCACTCTAGCCTGGGTGACAGAGTGAGACCCTGTCTCCAAAAAAAAAAAAGTTTTCCTACGTAGAAAGTTCCCTAACATAGCATGTTCCTTAACATAGTTTGAATATTCCCTGTCCTTTAGTCATGTTTACACTGAATATTTGCATAGGAAACCCTTTGTCATATAAAGAAAATCTTCCCAGCACCTACCTAAGTGCTTCGTTTATATTCAACAAATACCTGTTTGCAGACACGGACCTAGAGGCTGGTGATGCAGCAGTGGGTACAACAAAGCCTCTGTCCTGATGGAGTTGACCTTTTAGTGGGGGAAGTTGATGATAAAAATACATCAGTAAAATATAAAAACAGTGGATGACACAGAGTGAGTAAAATAAAGCAAAGAAAGGGGAGTGAGAGAGGAGGCACCAGGCACCATGTTAAAGGGGATCTTCCTCAGGGAAGACCTCTGAGGAGGTGATAATTGGAAAGAGACCTGCATGAGGTGGAATAGTGAGTGAAGCGCAGCCCAGTTAGTAGGAACAACCAGGGAAGGGTCCAGGAGGAGGGAATGAGCTTGGCATGTTTCAGAAGCAGACATGATCTCACTGGTCTCATCCCCACCCCAGCCACCAACCTGGTCCAAGCCACCACTGTCTCTTACCTGCTCCCCTGCTATAGCTCTAACCAGTCTCTCCATTTTTATTTCTTCATTTCTGTGGTCGATTTTCTACACAAGTAGCCTGAGTCACCTTTAAAAATGCAAATGTGATCATGTGTTAGAACACTTGCAGTTTGTACCTCCAAGAGCTTCCCATCACTCAGAACAACATCAACTGTCTTCACCTTCCTTGACAAGATCCTCATGATCTGTGCCAAACACCTCTCTGACCTCAGCTCCTGCCTGTTCTGGCTCACTGCTCACTGGCCTCCTTGCTCTTCCTTGAACAGGCCATGTACACACCTGCCTAGGCTGCTGCCTGGGCTGTCCCTATGCCGAGAGTTCCGGTAAATGGACCGTGATTCCTCCAATTGCTCTAGCAGTAGATTTAGGAGTCATTCTTGATTCCTTTTTTTTTTTTCTCACACTCCATAGCCTATCCATTGGCAGGTCTTGACTGGTTTCCATTCTAAGGAGATCCCAAATCAGACTACTTCTTATCACTTCCACCAAAGACCCTTAATCCAAGCCACCACCATCTCTCACCTGCCCACCTGGATTACTGTAGCCACCTTGCTTGCCATCTTGCACCCCATAGCCTATCCTTCACACATTAGCCAGAAGGATCTTTTTTTATTTTTTAGAGACAGAGTCTTGCTGTGTCACTCAGGCTGGATGGAGGGCAGTGGTGCAATCATAGCTCACTATAACCTTGAACCACTGTGCTCAAGCTATCCTCCTACCTCAGCCTCTTGAGTAGCTAGGACTACAGGCACAGGCCAACATGCCTAGTTAATTTTTTTAAAAAAAATTTGTAGAGATGGGGGTCTTACTATGTTGCTCAGGCTGGTCTCAAATGCCTGGCCTCAAGGAATCCTCCTGCCCCAGCCTCCCAAAATGCTGGGATTACAGACATGAGCCACTGAGCTTGGCCCAGAAAATATCTTTTTTTTTTTTTTTTTTTTGAGATGAAGTCTCGCTCTTGTCTCCCAGGCTGAAGTGCAAGGGCACAATCTTGGCTTACTGCAACCTTTGCCTCCCGGGTTCAAGCGATTCTCCTGCCTCAGCCTCCCAAGTAGCTGGGATTACAGGCACCTGCCACCATGCCCAGCTAATTTTTGTATTTTTAGTAGAAACGGGGTTTCACCATGTTGGCCAGGCCGCTGTAGATATCCTGATCTCATGATCCACCTGCCTTGGCTTCCCAAAGTGCTGAGATTACAGGTGTGAGCCACCGTGCCCAGCCCAGAAAATCTTTTAAAAAGATATATTCAACATTCAAATAATATTGATCGAGCCCAGCTGTGTGCAAGAGTCTATTTTTAGTTGCTGGAGATACAGCAGTGAACAAAATAGAAAAGGTCCTTGCCCTCATGGAAACAAATGTTTGGGGAAGAAAATGAAGAGTTATGTTTTTGTTTTAAAGAGGTTAAAATAAACACTCAATATATTAGGTTGGTGCAAAAGTAATTGCAGTTTTTCCCATTACTTTTTTTTTTTTTTTTTTTTGAGACAGAGTCTCATTGTCACCCAGGCTGGAGTGCAGTGGTGTGACCTTGGTTCACTGCAACCTCTGCCTCCCGGGTTCAAGCAATTCTTCCTGCCTCAGCCTCCCGAGTAGCTGGGATTACAGGCATCAACAACCACACCACCACCGGCTAATTTTTGTATTTTTTAGTAGAGATGGGGTTTCACCATGTTGGCCAGGCTGGTCTTGAACTCCTGACCTCAGGTGATCCGCCCGCCTCAGCCTCCCAAAGTCATGGGATTACAGGCATGATCCGCTGCACCCGGCCTGCCATTACTTTTAATGACAAAAACCGCAATTACATTTGTACCAACCTAATAATTGGTCAATAAGGGTGCCACTGGCAAATTCGTCATTTAGGATGCTGTATTTTTCCCAGAGTTGGAATGCTCTGTGCCGAGCTGGTGATAGATTCCTTGATATCACATTCCAAACCACAGTATGTGTGTTGTACCTCAGTTCTAGTTTAGAATAACATTTCTAGATATTTTTTAAATGAAAAATGTAATTTTTTGCTAATGCATATGAAACAAACACTCCACTTGGGGAAGATGCTCAGGAAACAAGCATTTCAATGAAACACATAGGCAGTGATATTTATCTACTGACTTATGTCAGCTCCAAAAAGAATTTAAGGGGAACAGCTCTACAGAATTGGGTAATTTTAACTGTCATCAATCACAATTTAATCTAAATTTGGTCTTATTCCCAAACTTTGATTAAGATGCTTCTTCCAAGCTGCCTTTAATTTTCCTTTGGATGTTTGCTCTAAACACCTGGAGAGCATGGTTATGGTTTATTCTTTATTTGGCCACAGTGCCTAGTATCGTTCCTGGTAGAAAATAAAGGTTTGTTGAATGACTAAATGAATGAAATTTCCTAGGACAAGCTTTAAATCTAAGCCCTCTGACCAACTTGTAATACAAATAGGCATAAAAAATACCTTTCTAGCTTTTCATGGGCATTTCAGCAAGAACAGTACTATGACTGTCCCCTTTCCATAGCCAAATGCTAGAATTTTTCTCCATGGCTCTCAGCTGTTTGTACTTCCAAACCCCCAACCCCCCCCCCCCTCCACGTTTTAAAAGCGTTCAGGTATAGGAAACAGAACCCATTATACCAATTTTAAACAAAAAGATTATGTAGTATCAGGAATTAGACGCCTGAAAGATTATTGCCAGGGCTGAAGCAGCCGACCCCAGACTGTGCCTCCTAGAACAACTTTCAGAACAGTACACCAGAACTGGCCCAATAGGGGAGCTGCTACCAAGGTGGGTAAATCTGAAGCTGATGAATTAAAAATCCATGTGGCCATAGCCATAGCTGGATTCAGGCATCTGCTACCACCACCAACACTGCCACCACATCATTGCCCCTGACAACTACAAGGCTGGTGACAGAGCACTGGAAGTCTGCTATTGAGAAACATAACGTCTGTACAGCCATGCTTGCTGCTGGTTCCAGGGATGGCTCTGAGCAAGACCCTGAGGTAGGACAAGCTTAGCTGCTTGGTTCTCCAGTAGATACTTAATAGTCAAAGCTGCAGGAAGAGAGCCTTTGTCTCACTTGAGTCAGGCACATCTAATTGGGAGAATCTAATTCTCTTCTAGAAACCTAGCTGCAAGGTAGTCTGAGAAATGAAGAGTTTAGTTTACCAGCCTCTGTAAATCAAACAGGAAATTCTACCTGGGAAGGCGGACTAGATGCTGAGTGCCAATTGACCGTAACCACTGCAATCCTTTCATCCATTTGGCAGGATAATGACAATACAGCTGACATGTAGCATGGACTACATACTGGTGTGAAGAAGGAAGAACTCTCTGTGACATCCCTAGTACAACAGCATTAAATTTTCCCATGAACAATTAACTACCCACTTTAACAGGAGGAGGAATTACAACTCAATTAACATGTGATCACACATCATCCTTGCTGAAGCTGCCAGAGGGAGCAAGGGACAGAGAGACATTTTCAGTAGAAAAAAGGAAGGATGAGAGAGGAAGAATTTTCCATTTTAAATAAGCATCTTTTACTCCAGATTGCCTTCTCTGTGACCATACTGAATATCTGTCAGTTGGTCAATGTGCCTAATGGGGAAGAGAGACACAGTTGTCCCCAGGCTGAGAGGAGAGACCCAGTTCCAACTTGTAGGGCTCTCTGGGGTCTGGCTTGGTAAGTTGCTTTCTGCTATTATGTGGTTCTCAGTAAGCAGAAAGCTTGACAAAGGAAAAAATAAAAAATAAGAGAGAGCCCAAGGATAGGAATTGGAGGATTCTGAGGGAATCACTGGGGAGAACACCATTTAAAACAACCATGGAATTCTGTGTGTTTGGGAGCGAGGGAGAGAGAGCAGAACCCCAACAAAAGTTGTGCCGTTTCTTGAGAGACAGAGATGCAGGAGTCCCCCAAAACTGCTCAGCCTGTCTCCACCACCCAGCAGCTGCCACTGGTCATAGATAGCCTGGCCGTCATACTCTTCAGTGACCTCAAGGACTTTTCTTTCTTCCTCTCTTCCCTCCCTCCCACCCTCCCATCCGTCCTTCCTTCCTTCCTTCCTTTATTCCTTCCTTCCTTCCTTCCTTCCTTCCTTCCTTCCTTCCTTCTCTCTTTCTTCTTTTGTTGTTTCTGAGGCAGGGTCACTCAGGCTGGAGTGCAGCGGTGTGATTACAGCTCACCATAGCTCCAAACTGCTGGGCTCAGGGGATCCTCCCAACCTCAGCCTCCTGAGTAGCTGGGACTACAGGCGTGCCCACCATGCCAGGCTAGTTTTTAACTTTATTGTGGAAACATGGTGTTATTATGTTGCACAGGCTGCTCTCAAACTCCTGGCCTCTAGCAATTCACCTGCCTCGTTCACGGACTTTTCTGATCTTGCTTGTCTCTGTTTAGGGTTTCTGGAGTCAGAACTGCTGTCAGGATGAGTGGGAAGGGCATCCCCTCACCTGTCTGTGCCTCAGATTCCTCATCTTCAAAATGGAGGGAATAAAACTACTTACCTTGAAGGGCTGGTGAAAGGTTAAAATGAGATGTAATTAGTTTAGACATTACATTCATACATAATTAGTTTAGAATAGAAACTGGCATGTGTTAAGTGTTAAAATAAATATTGGCAGCTTTTGTTGCTTTATCTCTATGAATCCTTTGCAGAAGTTAGAGATCACGGATTATCTAGAGGTAGGCCATGGTGGAGAATTGAGAATGAGATGTGGAGTGGTGATTGGATGAGGAAGTCATATAAGCTGCAGGAAGGGCGAGTGACTGAGGAAGCTTTTGTGGAGTCCTAATTAGAGAAACAGAGTTAGGCTGGCAGGACCAAGGGAAAGCAAAGAGAGAAAGCAGATAAACGGCCGGGTGTGGTGGCTCACGCCTGTAATTCCAGCACTTCAGGAAGCCGAGGCAGATGGATCACCTGAGGTCAGGAGTTCGAGACCAGCCTGACCAATATGGTGAACCCTGTCTCTACTAAAAATACAAAAATCAGCCAGGCGTCATGGTGTGTGCCTGTAATCCCAGCTACTCAGGAGGCTGAGACAGGAGAATTGCTTGAACCTGGGAGGCAGAGGTTGCAGTGAGCTGAGATCATGCCACTACACTCCAGCCTGGGCAACAGAGCAAGGCTCCATCTCAAAGAAAAAAAAAAGAAAAAAAAAGAAAGCAGATAAACTACAAGTCTTCCTTTCTTCATGGTCCAGGACACATAGCCCTCCTGCACAAATAACTCACAATCTTCCTGCATCCAACTATCACCAGACACCTGCAAGCTATTATAGCTCACTGCAACCTTGGTGTTATCAGAACTGCACAAAGCCCTCTTCAACAGACAGCATAAACACTCTTCTATAGAATCTCCAGCAAGCCTGTTTCCTGGCGGTTAGCTTCTCTTCTGCTGGCTGCCCATTGCCTCCTTGCAACGTATTTTCCTACTTTCTCTAATAAATCTGCCTTTTGTTTTTGTCTACAACTGTCTTGGTAAATTATTTTACCCCTGCACCGCTGGCCCAGGTACTCCCTGCTCACCTGCAACAGCTTTGGCAATGTATCATGATAGCAAAATGTCAGAGGTTGGCTGGCAAAATGAAATGGAGCCCAGAAGAGAATAAGAGTAACTAGGAGTAAGAAGAAGTGTGACTGAGATCAACATGGGTTAGGGTACAGATTTAGCTACTATACCAAAGGCCAAAATAATGGTGTCTCTAACAAAGCATATTTCTCTTACATAAAAGAATGAGTAGATGGTTCAGGGTTGGTATGGTGGTTCTGTAGTGTTGGAGATCTAGGCTTCTTCTATCTTGTAGGACAGACAGGTTTCTTCTACCTTGTTGCCATGCCATTCTCAGCATGTGGCTTCACCTCCCAGTCTACTCCAGCTCCTGCCATAACTCCTACCTTCCAGCTCATGGGAAGGGAAGAAAGGTGAGAGTGGACACATTCTTTTGCTAAAGGAATGACCTAGAAAGTACACGTACCACTTCTGCTCACATCTCACTGGCCAAGACTTAGTTATGTGTCCATCTTGTGCTGCAAAAGAGGCTGGAAATGTGGTCTTTAGCTGGGTAGTCATGTGCCCAGGGAAAGGAATGGAGGGAAAGGGAAGGAAAAATGACTATGGGGAGTGGGCAATGAATTGTGTCTGCTATAGGACTAATACATATTTTGGGATCGTAATGGAATTTTTATTCCTAATGATTTCTGAAAACGTCTGATAAAGTTGCACCATCTTGTTTTTGACCAACATTCAAAAAAACCAAACTACATAAAGAATTGGAAGCTGGAACTTTCCTACAATGACCCCACTACTACCTGAGGACCAAAGCCTTATCAATGCTGATGACCAAAAAAGACTTGAATTGTCCAATTCCTCCCTAGGAAAATATTTTGGAGACAAATTAAGATGAATTAAGTCAAATGACTATTAAAAAAAACTTTCTTCCTCTTGATTAATGATTCCATCCATTGCCATTGAGACTTATTAAGCAGCTTTCCTTTTCTGAGGGAAGATATTAAAGGACAGAACGTGCCAAGCTTTTAAAGTTTGACAAAAATACTCACTTAAATTATTATTAGATTCTGAGATATGCTCTGAAGGTGATGAAGGAGCTTTTTGGAATAGAGCCAAATGCTAATGCTGATTTCCACAGCTGAGCAAGGTCTGTGCAAGCACCCCAGGATCACTCCCTGCTCTCTCTCCTGCTGTTTAATGCCTAAAACATAGGTTTACATATGTTGAAATGTTTATATTTGTCCCAAGGCTTTTCTGGAGGGAACTGGGTATAAATAAACCACACAATGGATCCCTTCCTCACTAGAAACTAAAAATTAGGTCATCTCCTTTGTCTTTCCCCACTCCTCTCCTGATAGGAATGTAGATTTTTAAACAAACATATCAAAAGTATGCTGTGAAGAGGGATCAGTGTTAGTAACAGCGGGCTTTTTTGTCTTATAATTGCCCTGCTATAAAAACTGAGAAAGGAGATGGAGAAAAGAAAAGGGAAAAGAGAGGAGAAAGGAGAGAGAGGTACTAGGTTCTTATTCTTTGAGTCTTTTTGGTGCCATAGATGACTTTGACAAACTAGTAAAGCCTATGGACCCCTTCTCTGAATAGTGTCTTTAAATACATAAGATAAAATGTATAGGATTACCTAGGAAACCAATTATATTGAGACAGAGCTCCACTTATGGATTCTTTAGGAGGTCTGTGGACTGCAGATGAGCTCTCTGGGTTGTCTCCCCTGCCTACATCATCAACTCCCTTAAATCAAGCATAAGTTCCAACAGTTTAGGCTGCCTTAGTTTGACAAATACAATTCCTCACATGAAGCTGCTACATTGCATGCCCAAACTCTTTCTCAGACACATGGTCATTTGTGTTCCATGGACATGGAACTAGCATTTGAAGGCTGTTACTATAAAGCTCAAATGCACAAGCCTCTTTACTGCAGGTTAAATTGGCCCCACAGTGATAGATCTCCACAGGCTCTGCCTGGATGCCACTTGCTTTCCTGTAGCACTGAGCAGAGACATGATACTGGGATTCAGTCCTTAAAAGTAAAAACCTTATAATAAATATGTAAGTTCCTCTTGATGAAATATGTAGTAAGCAAAGGCTGCTTTTGTTACAGTCTCAGCAATGTACCACAATGTAGCAGTCTCTCATTGTGAGGTATCACCCCAAGTTCTTTGTCTCACAACCAAGAGAATTAAGGAGCATGAACACAAAGGATGAAGTTGGAGTGAAAGTTTAATAAGCGAAAGAAGAAAGCTCTCCACAGCAGAGAGGGGTCCCGAATGGGTTGCCATTTTTATAGTTGAATATAAAGCCTTTTATAAGAAACTGATAAGGGCTAGGCCTCTCATGTACATAAGGCACAAATTTCTGGTAGCTCCACCTCATTCTCCTAATGCGCATGGGAGCCCTTAGCTTGAGTTACTCCATATTGTTTTGTTCCCCTTACGCATATGTGTTAAAGGACGGAATTTTCCATTGCAAGCACATCTGGGCAAGTCACCTGTGCAGTTGTTCTTATCTGTGCAGCTGTGGGAATGTCTTAGGCACGACCCCCTGTGCAAATTTCCTCATCTTTGCCTGCAGCTTGATTTTTCAGGCTGTTCTTTTGTTTGAAAGAATTTAACTGAGGACCCACCCTAACTGCCTGCCTGACTGGTTTCTTCCTTTCTCCTCTCACATTCTCATAGTAGCAGAAGCTCCTAGCCTTTAAAAGAGGGCTTTGTCTTGGGCAAAGGAGAGACAGGATGATGGGGAAATGCGGGGAGGGAGTCACCAACTCACACCTTAATTAATTCTGCCTCCACCGTGGATCTGGGCTGAGGGACCTAAAGGCAGATATCATCTCCGTGTTGGTCCTTGGGTGCTTCCTCACACGGACAAGTTCAGAGTAGGAAAGATGATACCCAGGCAGGTCCCCAAGACTCCTGTCATCCCCCCTTCTCACCAAGCCTCATTTATATCTAACATGTGTCTTCAAGAATCCCCAGGTGGGGAATGACTCTTCCCCAGGTTGCCTTACTGAGACCTGAGAAATAAAAAATAAAATTCCAAGGCCCTAGCTGACTGAAGTGATCCCCTCTTGGCCAAGGGGACCCCAGAGAAACCTTGGAAGCTAAGTCCTGGCCATGATGCTATAGAAGGTTGGACATACCTCATTACATCTGCTCCCTTGATAACTGCCATTAGGCTTTCTTCCCTAAGGGCTACACAGAAACCAGCTCTTTCGAAAGACTCCACGCTGATAATGTCAATGACTAACTTATCTTCCCAGGTATAGAACAAAGACGAGATGAGATTAGTCGCTTCTTCACCCTTCTCTGAGACATCTGCTTCCTCTATTCCTCTTCTCTTCAAATGTTCACCTTTTATTATGTAAAATGTAGATTTCCTGGGCACTAACTAAAGTCTGACAAATATGTAGTAATTCCTCTCACTGCTCCCATTCCTTTTTTAAGGAAAATGTATAAATATCAAACCTCCTGAGAACCTCTTTGGAAAAAAAGAGCTGCAGATGTGTCTGTGACTCTCATTTTTCCTGGGCGCACCCTCAAGCTGGCTTAATAAACCTTGATGATTTGAAACTTATGCTTCAGTCACTAATTTTGGTTGTCAGGCTCCCACATCTAAAGGGAGCCATTTTACTGGTTCAAAGACTCAACCAACGCCAGTCTTATGCACTCAGCCCTTCCCCTACCCATTATGATGAACTCTGGTCAGCAAAGAGCCATCTATAAATTCCATCCAAAGACACAAGGCCCCCTTGGGACTGCCAATCACAACAGGGTTACTTCTATTGTTTCCACTATGGGTGGAACCAAAATAATTCCTTAGCTAGTGAAACCCTGTGTCAGGTTCTATAAGTACCATCAGAGTGTACTTACCAACGTTTGGTTATGGCCCACAAGGTGTTTGGGCCATTTCCCTAAGGAAAATCCTTTGTTTCCTTACCTCCCTCTAGGAAAAGTACTCAGTGGGCCCTCGTCCCACAGAGAGAGGGGAGAGCACTTATCCTGTGTTACAGGAAAGGGGTCCTGATCTAGACCCCAAGAGAGCATTCTTGGATCTTGTGCAAGAAACAATTCGAGGCAAATCCATAGAGTAAAGTGAAAGCAAGTTGATTAGGAAAATAAAGGAATAAAGAATGGCTACTCCATAGGCAGAGAAGCCCTGAGAGCTGCTGGTTGGCTATTTTTATGGTTATTTCTTGATTATATGCTAAACAAGGGGTGGATTATTCATGAGTTTTCAGGGAAAGGGGTAGGCAAATCCCAAAACTGAAGGTTTCTACCCTTTTTAGACCATATAGGGTAACTTCCTGATGTTGCCATGGCATTTGTAAACTGTTATGGTGCTGGGAGGAGTGTCTTTTAGCATTAAAATGCATTATAATTAGCGTATAATGAGCAATGAGGACAACCAGAGGTCACTTTTATTGCCCTCTTGGTTTTGGTGGGTTTTGCCTGGATTCTTTACCGCAGCCTGTTTTAGCAGCAAAGTCTTTGTGACCTGTATTTTTTTTTTTTGACCCGCCCACCTCAGTCTCTCAAAGTGCTGGGATTACAGGTGTGAGCCACCACACCCAGCCAAGATTCTTTCTCAAGATTGTTATAGCTATTCTGGGTCCTCTGCAAATCCTTATGAATTTGAGAATTCGCTTGTCAATTTCTACAAAGAAACAATTGTTCATATACAATAGATTATCATTTTTCTTACCAGATATTTGTAGATTTTCTTTAATAGATATTTCTTCATTTGCTGTATGCCCTTAGGCATGTTTCCAGAGCCTTTAAGTGTTTGGGGTTTTAAAAAAGTGATTTTCATCATTTTCACTGGAGCTTCCCAAATCATCATACCGGAAATCAATCTCTTCAACAAAGGATCACACACACACACACACACACACACACACACACACACACACACACACACGAACTCCAACTCAATAGCAAAGGGAAAAACAACTCCATGTTGATGATGACAAGGAACAACCAGATATCTCATACATTGCTGATAAAAGTGAAAATAGAATAAGCACTTTGGAAAACTGTTTGGCAGTTTCTTACAAAGTTAAATGTTTCACCTATTCTATCACTCAGCAATTAGACTCCTAGGTATTTAGGCAAGAGAAATTAGAGTTACAGCCACAAAAAGACTGGTATAATAATGCTCACAGTGACTTTATTCCTAATAGTCTGGAAATAACATAAATGTTCATCAATTTAAAAATGCATGGCTGGGCGCAAGGTGGTGCACACCAGTAATCCCAGCACTTTGGGTGGCTGAGGCGGGTGGATCACCTGAAGTCAGGAGTTCAAGACCAGCCTGGCCTACATGGTGAAACCCCATCTCTACTAATGATACAAAAATTATCCGGATGTGGTGGTGCATACCTGTAATCCCAGGTACTTGGGAGGCTGAGGCAGGAGAATTGCTTGAACCTGGGAGGCAAAGGTTGCAGTGAGCTGAGATCAGACCATTGCACTCCAGCCTGGATGACAAGAGTGAAACTCCATCTCCAAAAAATAAAAAAAATTAAAAAAATTAATGCATAAGAAGAAAACATAATGTATGCATCCAATAGAATACTACTCAACAATAAACAGGAATGAACTACTAATACATGCAGCAACATGGGCTTTGAAGTCAGGCAATCAAATTGCTCTGTGACCATGGGCCAATTACTTGGCCTCTCAGTGTCTTTTCTGTTATCTTTTCTGTAAATGGGATTGTTGTGGGTTGACTCGTATCCCCCAGAAATTTATGTGTTGCGGCCCTGTCCCCCAGTACCTTAGAATGGCACCATTTGGAGACAGGGTCTTTAAAAGGGTCATTTAAAATGAGATCATATGGGTAGGCCCTAATGCAACATGACAGGTGTCCTTATAACAAAAGGAGATAAGGACACAGACACTGTCTCAGTCCGTTTGGGCTGCTATAACAAAATACCACAAGGCTAGGTGGCTTATCGAGATCAAATATTTATTTCTCACAGTTCTGGAGGGTAGGAAGTCCATGATCAAGTCTCCAGAAAATTCAGTGTCTGGTGAGGTCCCTTTCACCATAGATGGCACCTTCTTGCTGTGTCTTCATATGGTGGAAGGGATGGGGTTTCTTGTATAAGGGAACTAATTCCATTCACGAGGGCTCTGCCCTCGTGACTTAATCACCTCCTAAAAGCCCTACATCCTAATACCATCACACTGGGGATTAGGATAGGAACATGAATTTTGGGGAAACACAAACATTCAGACCATAGCAGACACAGAGAGAGAAAACCATATGAAGATACAAAGAGGAAAAGGCCATCCACAAGCCAAGAAGAGAAACCTCAGGAGAATCCAACCCTGCTGACACCATTAATTAATTAATTAATTAATTTATATTTATTGAGACAGGGTCTCACTCCATCAGATCACTGCAACGTCTGCCTCCCAGGATCAAGTGATCCTCCTGCCTCAGCCTCCCAAGTAGCTGGAACTACAGGCGTGTGCAACCACACTGGCCTAATTTTTGTATTTTTAGGAGAGATGGGTTTTCACCATGTTTGCCAGGCTGGTCTTGAACTCCTGGGCTTAAGTGAATTCACCCACCTCAGCCTTTCAAAGTGCTGGAATTACAGGCATGAGCCACTGCACCCAGCCTTGTTTAGTTAGTTATTTTAAGATGGAGTTTCACTCTGTTGCCCAGGCTGGAATACAGTGGTGTGATCGTAGCTCACTGTGGCCTCAAACTCCTGGGCTCAAGTGATCCTCCCACCTCAGCCTCCCAAGTAGCTGGGACTACAGGTGCAGACCACCACACCCAGACAATTTTTAAAATGTTTTTGTAGAGGCAGGGTCTCACTTTGCTGCCCAGGCTCGTCTCGAATTCCTGGGCTCAAATGATTTCCCCACCTTCGCCTCCCAAAGTGCTGGAATTACAGGTATGAGCCACCACGCCTGGCTCCTACTGACAACTTGTTCTCAAGCTTCTAGCCTCCAGAATTGTGAGAAAATACATTTCTGTTGTTTAATCCACCCAGTTTGTGGTACTCTGTTATGGTAGCCCTAACAAACTAATACAGGGACCAAAATTCCTATGGACGAAACTGTGGGAAGGGTGACCTGAGAAAACATGAAAATCACTGATCATAGGGCTTAGAACATCGTGAATGCCCAGCAGGACTATTCCTTTTGGAGATGTAAACCACCAGGCAATGTGTAAAAGAGGCCTGTGGTGTGTGTAAATACATGTAAAGCTGGGGAACACTATGTGCATGTGTGTATGAGCATGTGTGTGTGTCCACATGTATATGTAGTTTTGCACGAACAAATGGAATATGTCAGTCACCTTCATATATCTCACAGTGAAGCCTGGAGCAGAAGGTGAGCTTTCTGAGGGCAGGACCCCTGCCTGGGTAATCTTATAAAGCAACAGGTCAGAGGGCCAAATCCAGCCCTCTGCCTGTTTAGTTAAGTGAAGTTTTATTGAAGTACAGCTACACAGGCTGGTCCACATATTGTATCTGGCTGCTTTGGTGCTACAATGACAGAGCTGAATAGTTATGACAGACATTGTATGGATCACAAAGCCTAAAATATTTACTTTCTGGCTCTTGAAAACACAGTTTGCTGCCATTGTTATAGAGCCCAGTGTAGTAAAGATTAAATAAATTCTTCTTTCTGTTTCCTTTTCCTCCTTCTTGTTATGGAAAGAGACCAAGAAAAAGAAAAACAAATGAAAAATGAACATGAAAGTTACTCTTTTTTTTTTTTTTTGAGACAGGATCTGGCTTGTTGTCCAGTCTGGAGTGCAGTGGTGTCATCTCAGCTCACTGCAATACCCGCCTCCCAGACTCAAGCAATCCTTTCACCTCAGCCTCCCAAGTAGTTGGGACTACAGGCATTCGCCATCATGGCTGGCTAATCTTTGTGTTTTTGGTAGAGATGGGGTTTCGCCATGTTGCCCAGGCTGGTCTCGAACTCCTGGGCTCTCTTGAACTCCTGGGCTCAAGGGATCCGCCTGCCTAAGCCTCCCAAAGTGCTAGGATTACAAGCATGAGCCTAGCATTGCAGTGAGCGGAGATCATTCGGCCGCGCTCTGCCGGAAGTTACTTTAGATTCATTTTGTCTAACTTCTTTAAGGTTATGAAGAAACTGTAGTCCAACACAGTTCTGCCTCAATCTCCTCATCTGTAAAATAGAGATATTTTGATTTTTAAATGTGCTAATAGAGTCATGCACCACATAAAGAATGATGTTTTGGTCAAGGATATATGACCCACCCATATATATGAGGGTAGTCCCATAAGATTATAATGGAGATGAAAAATTCCTATCACTTAGTGACATGGTAGCCGATGTAACATTGTAGCGCAATGCATTACTCATGTGCTGGTGTAAACAAACCTACTAGTATAAAAGCATACAACGATGTACAATACATAATAACTGATAATGATAATAAACAACTATGTTAGTGGTTTATGTATTTACGATACTATTTATCATTATTTTAGAGTATGCACCTTATACTTATTTTAAAATAGCTAACTGTAAAACAGCCTTAGGGAGGTCCTTCAGGAGATATTACAGAAGAAGGCATTGTTATCACAGGAGACAACTATTGCCCCCAAAGACCTTCCAATGGGGCCGGGCGTGGTGGCTTATGCCTATAATCCTGGCACTTTGGGAGGCCAAGGTGGGTGGATTGTTTGAGCCCAGGAATTTGAGACCAGCCTGAGCAACATGGTGAGACACCTATCTCTACAAATTACACAAAAATTAGGCCAGTGTGGTGGCACAGGCCTGTAGTCCCAGCTACTTGGGAGGTTGATGTGGGAGGATTGCCTGAGCCTGGGAGGCAGAGGTTGCAGTGAGCTGAGGTCACACCACTGCACTCCAGCCTGGGCAACAGGGCAAAACTCTGTCTCAAAAAACAAACAAACAAACAAAAAAAACAAAAACAAAAAACTTTCCAGTTGGACAAGATATGGAGGTGGTTCTTGACCCTGTGTAGACCTAGGCTAATGTGTATGTTTGTGTTTTAGTTTTTAACAAAAAAGTTATATAAAAATAGAAAAAAGCATATAGAATAATGACATAAGGAAACAAATATACAAAGAAAAATTTGTGTATAGCCGTACAATGTGTGTTTTAAGCTAAGTGTTAATACAAAGGAGTCAAAAAGGTTTTAAAATTTTTCAAAGTTTATTAGGTAAAAAAGTTACAGCAAGCTAAGGTTAATTTGTTATTGATGAAAGAAAAATATTGTTTATAAATTTATTGCAACCTAGGTGTACAGTGCTTATAAAGTCTACAGTAGTGCACAGTCTTAGGCCCTCACATTCACTCACCACTCGTTCACTGACTCACCCAGAGCAACTTCCAGTCCTGCAAGCTCCTTTCACAGTGAGTACCCTATACAAGTCTACCATCATTTATCTTTTATACTGTATTTTTACTATGCCTTTTCTATGTTTAGATAAGTTTACATACAAAAAACACTTACAATTGCCTGTGGCATTCTAGAGCTTACCATTGCCTATGTTACAATCGCCTATGGTATTCAGTACAGTAACATTCTGTACAGGTTTGTAGCCTAAGAGAGATAGGCTATACCATGCACCCTAGGTGTGTAGTAGGCTCTACCATCTAGGTTTGTGCAAGTACACTCTATGATGTTTACACAATGGTGAAATCGCCTAACAATGAAATCGCCTAATGACACATTTCTCAGAACATATCCCCTTTGTTAAACAATGCAGGACTGTATACATATAAGCAATTAGAACAGTGTCTGGCACACAGTTTTGCTATTATTAGTATCATCGTTAACTTCTCTTCCCTATGAACATCTGAAAAACCCCTATCTTTTTTTGTTTATATTAACATATACACAATTCATGTCCTTCCCTGCAGAGAACGTGAGAGAATGAAGGCAAAGGGGGAATCAAAGCTGGAAAGGCAGAAACAAGTGACCCAAGGCGCCTGCTTGGCACCAAACGACTCCTCAGGTAAGCCCTAGCCAGCCCCCATCCCCGCCCCCAGCTGGCCTGTGCTAATGGAATTCAGAAGGTAACACAATCCTCAGGCTCTGAATTCTTGGAGGATCCTGGCCAGGGGCTATGGGAGCTGGCAGGAGGCCGGGAGGCTGAGGGCTGTGATAAAGATCAAGTGCCCACAGCCCTCCCGTCCCTTCCATCCCACCCGGGGCTGCCTCCTGAAGCCTGGCCTCAGTGCAGGTTTGCAGATTTTCTCTAACTGGCTGTCTGGCTTCCTGGAGAGAAAGTGTTCAAGCCCAGAGAGCCTCAGGAATGAGAGTCTAATCAGACCCATGTGTGGAGAAAACCTCTACTCCTTTTTCTTAGTTCTTGCTGCTTTCGTCCCCACCTGGGAAAAGACAGTAGCCCAATAGGGGAGGGCCTTTCCTATGGGGGGAAAGCTGGTGGTCAGGGTCCCCCTTCCCCCGCCCCCACATTTTCCCCCATGGCCGGGGCTTAGAGACTTCTCTGTCACCCTGCAGGGGAACGGGGATCCAGACAGGGCTTTTGCTCCTCCACCCACCCCAGGATGAACCACAGTGAGAGTAACCACTGAAACACAAGATAGTTGGGACCTCTGGGTGTCAAACAAGAAGGAGGGTAGAAAACACAAAGAAGGCAAGAGACATAGTCCTTTTGGAGACTCAGCCCCTGCCTAAGCTCCCTGTCTGGGGCAGAAACATGAGTCGCCCACAGGATACAAGAGAAATAAGACAGAAACTTTTTTTTTTTTTTTTAACTCTGTACCTCAATGGATGCAAAGGGACAGAAACTTATGAGCAAAAATTGTTTGACTCTTACAGGATCCAAATTCCCGGCAAAGCACAAACAACCATGGAAAGAAACTGCTTGGAGTGCTTTCTGCCATCTTCTCACCAAGTTCAGGAGTCAGCACTTCTCAATGCGTCTCGTCTACACCATGCACTATATAGGCACTTCTACATACTGCCCATTCTCATTACTTAGGGTACTTACGCCCTACAAAATCACTGCAGACCTCGAACCTCTGGTCAGAACATTTTCATTAACCAATCAATACATAGCCTTGTTTTATGAGCTTCTATGAAGTATGTATCATTGATTCATTAACATTGAACTCACAGCCCACAACACTATCATTTCGGCCTGAACAAAGCTTATCTAACAGACTTCTTTTCTCAGTAAATCTCATCACAGTCTTCTTGTGCTTAGGAGCAGGAGACACCACTTCAGTGCTATGCTTGGGGACCATTTTAGACAGTGAAATCACCAAGAAAAAGCACAAAAAATGCCAAAACCATGGCACTAAATAGACTGCAAAAAGGGCATTTGTTTACAGCATGAGGGCTGAAAGAAGAAGGAAGAGCATGCCTTATCCAGCCTCAGCTGGGAACGTGATTTGAATTTCTGCTGCTCTGTGCATGTCTGCAAATGACCCCAAAAACATTGTAAATATTGATTTGAGGGTTACAAATACATTTTTGTGAGTAGGCAAATTTGCAAATACAGAGGTCACAACTAACAGGACCAACTGTACATTATCTCATTTACTTCTCCTAGCAATTCTATGTGGTAGGTATTATTATTATTATTATTATTTGTAGAGACAGAGTCTCGCTTTGTTCCCTAGGCTGATCTCAAACTCCTGGGCTCAAGCAATCCTCTCTCCTCAGCCTCCCAAAGTGCTGGGATTACAGGTGTGAGCCGCCATGTCCAGCCTGTGGTGGGTATTATTATTCCAATTTTAAAGATTAGAAAACTTGGGAGCTGGACACGGTGGCTCATGTCTGTAATCCAGTGACTCAGGAGGCTGAGCAGGAGGATCCCTTTAGCCTAGGATTTTGAGGCTGCAGTGAGTCCACCACTAGTCCAGCCAAGGTAACATAGCAAGACTCAGCTTCTAAAAAAAAAAAAGGTTGGGAAACGGAGGCTCAGAGGGGTTTATGTGATTTGTACAAGGTGGTATGGCTAACAAGTGGCATTTGTATGTCTCCCACATCAAGCTTAAGACCTTTCACTTGGATAAAACTCTACCAGAGAAGATCATCCTGCCTCAGTCAGTCTTTTATTCTGTTATCTATTTGCCATACCTAAATGGGCTTGTTCAGCTACTGCTGTGGGCTGGTGTGTTCTCTTTGATTTATCTGGGGGTGCTTATGGGGATGGGGAACTATAACCCTCTTCCTCTATCCCCAGATTGAACTCAGATTCTTGAGTAGAGAGAGGGCCTCTCCTGCTGTTTATTCCCCAGGAGCTCTGCAAGCAGAGTCTTGAGAAAAGCAGCCCCCATTCCTATCCTGTATTCAGCTACTGCTACAGGCTCACAGAGCAGGTCGTCTGGGGCAAGTGTGGGAGGGCTCAGGTAGGCTCTGCATCAAGTCATTCAACAGATGCAACAGATATTGGGCCCCTGCTATTTACTTAGTCCAATATCGAGCTTGCCTCGGGGACACTGTAAAGACATAGGAAACATCTCCACCCTGGTCTGCTTTCAAATAAGTTACCTGTGGTGTGGGAGATTAAGACGCAAACATCACAGGCCAGCCAGAACCGTGCATGGTGCAGAGCTGAGCTCAGTGCAGCCTTCAGTGGGTAAGAGCATCCATGAGGGCTGGCGTGGGTCCTTCTTCATGGAGAAGGAGTTTTGAAGTGAACTCAAATAGTGAAAGGGATAGATAGAAGGAAGGAGGGGAGTTCAGGCATAGCTTGTGAGGAGATCAACGTGGCTAGAATCTGGGCTGCAAGCTCAGGACGGAGTTTAGCAGCAACAAAGAAACAATCCAGGAAAGAATCCATGAAGGTGCAGGAGATGACAGAGCTGTGACTAAGGGTTGGAGGCTGGAACTGCACAAGGCAGCACATTCTTGGTTACTCCTGAACAATGCTGAGCGGAGCGCAGAAAAAAATGATGCAGGTCCCTTGCCAGTCACAGTGGGGCTTCAGCCCCTTCCAATGCAGCCTGATAATAGGACATGCTACAGAGAAGTGGAAATGCCCTGTCAGGGGTTTTGTCTTTATCCTCAGAGCCCCATAGCTGCCTTTACCTCCCCAATCCATTTTTTATACTCCCCATCTCCAATTGATTCCTCAACCCACCCAATCTGGCTTCTGTTCCATTTCTTTTCTTTTCTTGAGACAGGGTCTCACTTTGTCATCCAGGCTGGAGTGCAGTGGCATGATCTCTGCTCACTATGGCCTCGACCTCCAAGACTCAAGCTATCCTCCTGCTTCAGCCTCCCAACTAGCTGGGACCACAGGCACACGTCACCATGCCTGGCTAATTTTTTGTTACTTTTTATAGAGATGTGGTCTTGCTATGTTGCCCAGACTGATCTCAAACTCCTGGGCTCAAGCAGTCCTCCTGCCTCAGCCTCCCAAAGTGCTGGGATTATAGGCATGAGCCATCATGCTTGGTCCCCATTTCTTATAAAAGCCATTTTCATGAAGATCACCATTGACCTTCAAGTGACTATGTCCAAGGCACATTTTTTTTTCAGTCTTCAACTAACTGGATAGTTCTCTTCTAGAATGTAATAATCATGAAGTCAAGGAATTTTGCATTCATTAGTACAGTCCCAGAACCTAGAACAGTCTGGTATAAGTGCCTGATAAATACAGTAGGTGCCTGATAAATACTCAGTGAATAAATGAGTGAACTTTCTTTCCGTGGCTTCTGCGACGCCATGCTCTCTGGTTTTCCTTCTACTCCCTGTCTGCTTCTTCTCTGCCTTTTTTTTTTAGACTCTTCTTCTTTATAATGTAAGATAACTCCAAATCTCCATCCTAGACACTCTCCTCTTCTCATCCATATTGTTTTTGTTTGGGACACCTTATTTGTTACCACCATCTGTGGCTCATAGTATTGTCCAAGAATGGTCACACCTATATATTTATCCCATCCCACATACTCCTCTTAAAACATAACTGACACTCTTCCACCAAGAAGTAGGGTCTAAGTTTCCTCCCCTTGAATCTTCCTGGCAGCTTATGACTTCTTTGGTCAAATGGAAGTAACGCTGTATGAATTCAGAGGTTAGGTCATTTGAAGAATTCAGTTTCCACTTGGATCTCTCTCTTGGGTTTCTTGATTTTAGAAGCAATCCATCCTGTGCTGAGGAAGCCCAGGCCACGTAGAGAGGCCATATGTGGGTGTTGGCAGCCAACGACTCTAGCTAAGCTCTCAGCCAGCAGCCAACATTAATATCATATAGGCCAGGCGTGGTGGCTCACGCCTGTAATCCCAGCACTTCGGGAGGCCAAGGTGGGCAGATCACGAGGTCAAGAGTTCAAGACCAGCCTAGCCAATATGGTGAAACCCCGTCTCTACTAAAAACACAAAAAATTAGCTGGGTATGCTGGCGGGCACCTGTAGTCCCAGCTACTCGGGAGGCTGAGGCTGAAGAACCAATCACTTGATCCCAGGAGGTGGAGCTTGCAGTGAGCCGAGATCGCACCACTGCACTCCAGCCTGGGCGACAGAGTGAGACTCTGTCTCAAAAAAAAAATAATAATAAAAATAAATAAATAAATAAATAAAATAAAAGAAAGAAAAAAATATACATAGTTTCAGGTCCCAGCCATTGAGTCTCCCAGCTGAGACCTCAGACACTGTAGAACAAAGTCATCCCCTCCATGCACTGTCCAAAGTCTCAATACAACAAAACCGTAAGAGATAATAAATGGCTGTTGTTTGAAGTCACCAAGTGTTGAGGTAATTTGTTACTTGGTGATAGACACCCACTATACCATCTGTATGCCGATATTCTCTAAATGTATATTTTCAACGCAGTCTTCTCCTTTGATCTCTGGATCCATATATCGAATTGCCTGCTCAGCATCTCCACTTGGATGTCTCAAGGGAGCTGTGATCTCACCACGACGAAAACTGAACTCTAATTTTCCCAGAGTTCTGATCCTTTTCCACTGTTTTCTTTCTTAATAAATGGCTCTACCTTCCAACCATTTTCTGAATCCAGAAATTTAGGAATCCGTCCTTAACCCTTTCTTTTCCCCACTGGTCCACAAGAAATCCATCAATAAATTTGGTCAATTTTACCTTTTAAATGTCTCTCTTTTTTTTTTTTTTTTTTTTTTTTTTTGAGACAGAGTCTTGCTCTGTCTCCCAGGCTGGAGTACAGTGGCATGATCTCAGCTCACTGCAATCTTCACCTCCCAGGTTCAAGCAATTCTCCTGCCTCAGCCTCCTGAGGAGCTGGGATTACAGCACGTGCCACCACACCTGGCTAATTTTTGTATTTTTAGTAGAGACAGGGTTTTGCCATGTTGGCCAGGCTGGTCTCAAACTCCTGGCCTCAAGCAGTCTACCTGCCTTGGCCTCCCGAAGTACTGGGACTCCAGGCCTGAGCCACGGTGTCTGGCCAAATGTATCTTAAATCTCACAACCTCTCTACATTCCCACCTTCGCCCTGATCCAACCCACCATCCCACCTCACCTGCTTGCACCCCTGCAGTAGTTTCTTGTCTTCCCAAATCTAGCCTGCTTCTCTCCACTTTGTTCTTCACACTGCAATCAAAATGATCCTTATTTGGAAATTAGCTGGGCGTGGTGGCCTGTGCCTGTAATCCCAGCTACTCGGGAGGCTGAGGCAGGAGACTCTCTTGAACCCAGGAGGTGGAGGCTGCAGTGAGCCGAGATCGCACCATTGCACTCCAGCCTGAGTGATAGAGCGAGACTCTGTTTCAAAAAAAGAAAAAAAAAGCCCGTTTCTGCGCGGTCACGCGGAGCCAGAGCCTGGAACCGGGCTGCAGCCCCTCAGCTTCGCCGACCGCCTCCGGACCACGGACCCCCACAAAGCGAATGAACTTCGGGCCTTTGTGAAAATGTGTAAACAGGATCTGAGTGTTCCATACACCAAGGAAATGCGCTTCCTGAGAGAGTGGGTGGAGAGCATGGCGGGTAAAGTACCACCTGCTACTCAGAAAGCTAAATCAGAAGAAAATACCAAGGAAGAAAAACCTGATAGTAAGAAGGTGGAGGAAGACTTAAAGGCAGACGAACCAAGTGAGGAAAGTGATCTAGAAATTGATAATGAAGGTGTGATTGAACCAGACACTGATGCCCCTCAAGAAATGGGAGATGAAAATGCAGAGATAACAGAGGAGATGAGGGATCAGGCAAATGATAAGAAAGTGGCTGCCATTGAGCCCTAAATGATGGTAAACTGCAGAAAGCCATTGACTTATTCACAGATGCCATCAAGCTGAATCCTTGCTTGGCCATTTTGTATGCCAAGAGGGCCAGTGTCTTCGTCAAATTACAGAAGCCAAATGCTGCCATCTGAGACTGTGACAGAGCCATTGAAATAAATCCCGATTCAGCTCAGCCTTACAAGTGGCGAGGGAAAGCACACAAACTTCTTTTTTTTTTTTTTTTTTTTTTGAGACGGAGTCTTGCTCTGTAGCCCAGGCTGGAGTGCAGTGGCGCAATCTTGACTCACTGCAAGCTCCACCTCCCGGGTTCACGCCATTCTCCTGCCTGAGCCTCCGGAATAGCTGAGACTACAGGCGCCCGCCATCACCCCGGGCTAATTTTTTTGTTTTTTGTTTTGTTTTGTTTTGTTTGAGACAGAGTCTCGCTTTGTCGCCCAGGCTGGAGTGCAGTGGCGCAATCTCTGCTCACTGCAACCTCCGCCTCTCGGGTTCATGCCATTCTCCTGCCTCAGCCTCCCAAGTAGCTGGGACTACAGGCGCCGGCCACTACCCCCGGCTAATTTTTTGTATTTTAAGTAGAGACGGGGTTTCACCATGTTAGCCAGGATGGTCTCGATCTCCTGACCTCGTGATCCGCCCATCTCGGCCTCCCTAAGTGCTGGGATTACAGGCGTGAGCCACCGCGCCCGGCGGGAAAGCACACAGACTTATAGGCCACTGAGAAGAAGCAGCCCATGATCTTGCTCTTGCCTGTAAATTGGATTATGATGAAGATGTTAGTGCAATGCTAAAAGAAGTTCAACCTAGGGCACAATTGCAGAACACTGGAGAAAGTATGAGCGAAAACGTGAAGAGCGAGAGATCAAAGAAAGAATAGAAAGAGTTAAGAAGGCTCGAGAAGAGCATGAGAGAGCCCAGAGGGAGGAAGAAGCCAGACGACAGTCAGGAGCTCAGTATGGCTCTTTTCCAGGTGGCTTTCCTGGGGGAATGCCTGGTAATTTTCCCGGAGGAATGCCTGGAATGGGAGGGGGCATGCCTGGAATGAATGGCCAGAATGCCTGGAATCAATGAAATTCTTGGTCATCCAGAGGTTCTTGCAGCCATGCAGGATCCAGAAGTTATGGCAGCCTTCCAGGATGTGGCTCAGCACCTAGCAAATATGTCACAATACCAGAACAACCCAAAGTTTATGAATCTTATCAGTAAATTGTCAGCCAAATTTGGAGGTCAAGCATAATGTCCTTCTGATAAATAAAGCCCTTGCTGAAGGGAAAGCAACCTACATCACCTTATGGATGTCGCAATGATACAAACCAGTGTACCTCTGACCTTCTCATCAAGAGAGCTGGGGTGCTTTGAAGATAATCCCCTACCCCTCTCCCCCAGTGCAGCTGAAGCATGTACAGTGGTTTGCCATTAGGGTATTCGTTCAGATAATGTTTTCCTACTAGGAATTACAAACTTTAAACACTTAAAAAAAAAAAAGATCCTTGTTTGGGACACCTGAATGAATTTTCCTTGCTCGTAAGACCAAGACAAAAATCCTTAACATGAGCAAACCCTACGAGATTCGGCCCTTGCCTAACCTCTCAAAATCCCTGCTGTCCTCCCCTGGATCTCTGCTCTGCACTCCACTGTGACAGTTCCTGGATTGCACTGAGCTTCTCCCCACAGAGGGATGTGCAGACATGGTTACTATTCTCGGGAAATCTCTTCTGCCCCCTGTCTTTTACCAAGCTAATTTTCATGCATTCTTCAGATCTTAGCTCAACCAAGGAAACCCTTCCTGACTCTCCCTCACCTTCTTTGTAATGTCTTCTGTAATATACTGTCACTGCTCCATGTGCTTTTAAATCCCAGCCTGTCTCTGTCTTTAATTGCACATCATCCATGAGACTATTTGATTAGTGTCTCCCTTACAAGACTGAAAGCTCCAGGTCGGCAGGAACCACATGTCTGTTATGTCCCTTACACCACGCACAGGCATTCCGTAAATATCTATTGCTTATGGAATGAATGAACGAAGGTGTGAATCCAAAGTGAGTAACAGAGCAGCAAGTTCCAGCCTTGAGGCCCAGGACTGCATTTCTCAGTTTCATGAACCCAATACACTGGGGAGAGCCTGTTGTGAACCACACAGCACCCTCTTCTTTCTCCAGAAGATACATTTTCTTTTTAACAGAATATACATTTTCTTCATGTTTCACATTCCACACCCCAGTGTCAGTGTGGGGATAGGGGTGAGGGATGTCAATTAAATTAATCATGGCAATCCCCTCGCCCAGGATTGATTGAGGAATAGGCATGAAACACAAGGCTAGTGAGACATGAAAGGAATTTGAGTTTTATAAAGGGACAGGAAGATGCTCTTGGGTGAGGATGTGATACTTGGAGCCACTGTAGTCTCTTGTGGCCCTGAGGGAACAAAGGCCGAATACATGGCAGAGGCAAAGGCTCCTGGTGGGGAGAACCCACCTCCTCAATGAACACATAAAATGACCACCCTTGAAACTGCTGATTGTATGGAACAATAAATTGTTTCTTATTGGTTTAAGCCAGGGTTTCTCAACATCACCACTGACACTTTGGGCCACATAATACTTTGTTGTGGGCAGCTGTGCATTATGTGTGGTCCTGTGCATTGTGGTATGTTGAGAAGCATCACTGGCCACTACCCACTAGATACCAGTATGACTATCCCCCACATCCCAGTTGTGACAACCACAAATGTCTTCAGACCTTGTGAAATGTCCCCTGGGGAGTAAAATTGCCCCCAGTTGAGAATGACTAGTATAAGCCAACTGAACTAAATTTTCTATTACTTGCAGCCAAAAGCAGCTTAACTGATACAGCACCTTTTCAACTTAGTTTACCCATAGCAATCTCTTTTTACCACACCCACATCTGCCTCTAGCACCAGAGCTGCTCATAGACCCATTCACACAATTACATCTTCCCACCAACCCCATTCAATCATAGCCTTCCTACTCCTGCTTTACCACTCACTTCCCCAGCCCCAGCTCCAACCATCTCTGCCTCCCCCTTCTCCTGCCACTTGCTGTGAGAGCTGATGGCAATGCTGTCTGTTACTTGCTCTTGCTCTAACATCGCTCTCTGCTACTTCTGCTCCTCATCAGAAGGAGGTCAATAGAAGCTTCCTTCAAACTTCCCCTGCCAAGGCTCTTTCTCCACCCCTCTATTCCCACTTCACTAATTTCATCTATCCATCCATTTATCCATCCATCCATCCATTATTCAACATTTATTTTGCACACTTACTATGTGCTTGGAGCTACAATAGGCACTGGATAGTGAATGGATTCAGATATAGAACTTGTCCTTAAAGAGCATACAGTCTGGCTAAGAAGACAGTTCACTAAGCCAATGACAAGTACTATATAAGTGTTGAAGATATCTGACCTACTATGAAAAGAAAAAAAAACGCATTTTCACACCTTGAGTGGCCCACACATTTAATTAGGTACTCAAGATAATGGAAAAAGTGGTCTTTACCTATTCACGGAGCAAGTCTGGCAAAACTGTATCTGCCAATGTGGTTAGTCCAGTTCCAGTAACTGGATGCACTTGGGAGAAGGGAGAGGGCCTAAGAAGAACTGTGTTCTGTTAAGTCAGACTTTTTTTCCCCTGTGGACTTTTCTCCAACTGGTCTGAATTAGTGAGGTCTAACTGCTTCTATTTAAGAAAAGGCAACAAAATCTTGAGGGCGTGCCTCCAAAAATCTTGCCAAAAGACACACACGCACACACACACAGGCACACATCACCACCACCACCAACTCCATCATCCACACACTCTGCCCTCAGGACAGGGACACACAGTGACACACACTGTCAGGCAGTTAAGGAAAAAGCAGAAATTGGGCATCCGTTCAAACAGCTTGAAGTTAAGAGATGGAAGATGGCTGCCGGGAGGGCAGAGCAGAGAGGGGCTTTGGTAAAGGAACCACTCCAAGCACAGCAGAAAAGGTCTCGCCCGAAGATTCTGGATTTCCTCTTTGGTTCTTTCAAAGAATGAGTCTCTGGTTCTATTTGGCTGGGGGACCAGCACTTGTGGGGTGTGGCCTTGAGCTCCCTCTTCCCCTGCACAGTAACGCTATTGTTCAGTAACTGCGGCCAATTTATGGAAAGAGGTGGAATGTTTATGTAACTGACTCTGCTTTAGACAAGATGTTTGAAAGTGGAAAAAAATGACTGATGGAAGGAGGCCAGTCCAAACACGGTTTTTCTTCCTTTCTGGACACAGATGTTGGAAAAATGAGGAGAAGGAAGGAGGGAGGGAGAGAAGAAAGTCGGGGTCTGAGAAGGAGTGCCAAAGTCCAAGCTGGCCAGAGACAGCCAGAGTCTGTCTTTGAGGCCAGGGGCAGAGCCTTGGAGCAGAACCTCCGTTTTTGGAAGCTGCTGTTTTAATTAAATAGGTCAACCCAATCAGGACAGCTCTGGTGTGGGGTCTGGGTCTCATTAGCCTAACATGGGTGGGGTGGGGCTGGCCTGGGGGAGTGGATCCCTTGGTGTGTCTGTAGTGGGGGGCAGCCTGAGATGAAGGAACTTCTTTACTGCTTCCCCCAAAGCCAGGCCCCAGGCAGCTGGAGCTGCCAGGAGGGGCAGACCACAGATGGAGAATGTGCTTCATTAAGCACGAGTCAGTCCACTCTGCAGCCTGGAGGCCCAGGCAGACTGGAAAAATCAGAACTGCTTTGAAAGGGAGTCACAGGAACAAATCTCACCCCTTCACCCAGCCCAGGTGCGGGGTAGTTAGGAGAACAAGATCCATACCTACACTTTCCCTTGGACCTAAGTTGGGCACTGAAGGCAAAGGCAGAAGTAAAGAGAAGATGACATGATTGTCTTCCAGGTTACAGGACTCCTGTGCTTGGGAGCTTCATCTGATAGGGGAGACTGGTTCCTGCCATTAGAGACCCCTAGTTTGATGGGGGAAGAACTCAATCCTGCACTTGGGGATACCTAGTAGATAGCCCCCTAACCCTGGGATCCCTAGTCTGGTGGGAAAGGCAGGACTGTAGTAAACGAAATAATCAAACTCATACAGAATTGGCATGTAAGCAGGTTCAGTGAGTTTTATGCAATGTGGGGACATCATATACTAAAGGACTTATATTTACAGTGGATCAGTGTTAGGGATGGTTCCTAGAGGAGGAAAGTTTTGAGCAATAAGATGGCCGTGGCTTGGCTAGGACCGTAGCCTGTGTGTGAGCATCTGTGATTATGCATTCTTGATTCTTAGGGGACAGGACTTAGGAGCCCATGTCCCCAGAGGTCTTAGTTCAACTGGCTGGGGGTGGTGAGGTAGGGCCTGGAGGTCCGACCTCTCAAAATAGGAGAATAAAGACAAATCAGCTGACCACCTAGTTTTCCCCAAGGGCTGGCTGGGTCAGGTTGCAATTTCGTTTCTGTCAACACATCCCAGAAGCCAGGGACTGTCAGGTGTCCCCCAAGATTAAGACGACTATATAATTTATCATTTAAATGAGGACTTTGGAGACAGTAGGTGTGTTATTAATCATTATGCTGGGCCCATAGGCATAAACCAGGCCTGTTCCAGATAAACCAGGACATTTAGCCTCCCTTCCTTCTAAGATCTTTAAGGGCCTGTGTGTGTGTGTGTGTGTGTAGCTGAGGGTTATGAGAAACTGAAGGATTAGCTTCAAATATTCTCCTCAACACCCCAATTCTACTTGATTTTTAGAGAAATGTGATTATTATGGTAAATAAAACATGTATGTATACAATGTGTGCTTATAAATAGTATATGTGTGTATGTATATATATATTTCTAGATAGATGATAAGAGATATATACACATATAATACAGAAGTCAATGAATTTTTAAAAAATGTGTTGAAATTAGGCCAGGTGTGGGGCCTGTAATCCCAGCACTTTAGGGGGCTGAGGCAGGAGGATCCCTTAAGACTGGGAGTTTGAAACCAGCCTGGGTAACATGGTGAAACCCCATCTCTACAGAAAAATTTTTAAAATTAGCCGGGTGTCGTGGCATATGCCTGCAGTCCCAGCTACTTGGGAGGCTGAGGTGGGAGGATTGCTTGAGCCTAGAAGGTCCAGGCTGCAGTGAGCCATGATCACACCACTGCACTCCAGCCTGGGTGACAGAGTGAGACACTGTCTCAAAAAAAAATTAAGTTAAAATGAGAGACCTCAAAATACAGTTGTTATAGCAAGTCTCCTGGGACTATGTCCCCAGCATCTCAAGGGGCACTATCATAGACGTATTCATGGCTGCCCAAATGTTTTCAACACCCTCTTGATATTTTGATAGTCTTTCAAGGATGCATCCTACCTTTCCAATGAAAACTAAAACAAAAGAAAACTGCCCTTATTTTTTCATTTCCGTTGCTGCTAGGGGTGCTAGTCGCACCAATCTGAGCTAATCTTTGTCTCTGAACAGAGTTACCTAGGGACAGGGACATGGCAGGAAGGGGTCCTCCCTTTTTGCTGGCACCAGATCACAGCAGGCACAGAATGGGTTAGAACTGGCAACTTCCTGCTCCTGACGGAGGCAGCTGCTCCCCTGGCAGCCAGATCTGCAGTGTGGCTCTGGGAGTCATCCTGGAAGCTCAGACTCTAGTCTGTTTTTCAGCCCTCTTAATACCCTTACTGAATCCTCTCATGCTTAAACCAGATGGGGAGGATTCCAGGTTTTTATATTTGCTTTGTTTTACAAAGAAGGACCCTGATCAATTCAGAGGATGCAAGGGCAGAGTTTGAGGAGACTCGTTACCTACAGTGTGAGGGATGGGGAAATTTAGCCCCAGAAGATGAAACGGCTGCATAAAACAAAACCATCCCATCTATCCAGTGCCCAGCCCCAGCCTCTTTGAACAACCACTTGCTGTCTTCTGTTCTTCCCTCTTCCTCCCCTCCCCTGCCCCATCTCTGGAGCTCCATCACATTTCATGTCCTTGCTTCCTCATACTGTTCCTCAGAAGTAGGGAGGTCAGGGAATGCTTCTCTCTGGAAGGTAAAATGCTACTCTGGAAGGTAAAATGATGTGCAGAGAGTGCGGGATAGTTGTGCAGCTGGCTAGCGGTGGAGCTGGGATGACACATCCATTCTTAATCTGGATCTCATTGTGTAGGGGCTTGGTGTTTCCCAAGCTAGGGCTCCCTGGAGCCAGGAGCAGCTCAGGCATCTGTAAACCTCATTATAATTGGTGTATAGTGAAAGGGCAGACTGACTCAGATTTCAAGTCCCACTTCTGCTCTGATGCTAGTCCTGGGCAAATCACCGGCCATCTTTCGGCTTCATTTACCTCATCTGTCAAATGAAGAGGTTGGTCTAGATCACAAATTCTTAACCTTTTGGGTGTCGTAGACTTCCTTAAAAATCTGATCTTTGGGCCACGTTGGGGGGCTCACGCCTGTAATCCTAGCACTTTGGGAGGCGGAGGCAGGCAGATTGCCTGAGCTCAGGAGTTCGAGACCAGACTGGGCAACATGGTGAAACCCCGTCTCTACTAAAATACAAATAACTAAATAAATAAAATTAGCCGGGACTGGCAGTGTGTGCCTGTAGTCCCAGCTGCTTGGGAGGCTGAAGCAAGAGAATTGCTGGAACCCAGGAGGCAGAGGTTGCAGTGAGCTGAGATCACTCCACTGTACTCCAGTCCAGGTGACAAAGTGAGACTCTGACTAGAAAAAAAAAATCTGATCTTTGGCCAGGTGCAGTGGCACACATCTGTAATCCCAGCACTTTGGAAGGCCGAGGCAGGTGGACTGCTTGAGGTCAGGAGTTTGAGACGAGCCTGGCCAACATGGCAAAACCCCGTCTCTACTAAGAATATAAAAATTAGCTGGGCATGACGGCGCAGCCTGTGATCCCAGCTACTCGGGAGGCCGTGGCAGAAGAATCACTTGAATCCAGGAAGCAGAGGCTGTGGTGAGCTGAGATCATGCCACTGCACTCCAGCCTGGGCAACAGAGCAAGACTCTTGAAAAAAAAAAAAATCTGATCTTTTTCCTTCATCCCCAGTCCCTCCCTCTAAAAACTGTACAGACAATATTTTCTATAAAATTTCAAGGGGGTCATGGACTGTTTGAAGTCCATTATTCAGTAAGAGGATTCAAAGCTTTTTTTTTTTTTAATCAGACTCCCAAAGGGATTTATGACCCCCGAATTATAAGAGCCCTGCTCTAAGGTCAGCTTGAGCAATGATTCTGGAGAGCTCTGTGAAAAAGCCTGCCTGCTGATCTTGGCTCTGCCCCTGGAAAGAGTGTTTCCCTTCATTGAGCCACAGTTTTCTCACCTATAAAATAAGGATAACAATACCTGTCCTGCCAACACTATAGAATTGTTGGGAGAATTACACCGTAATAGAGGTGAAAGTTTTTTGTAAACTGTAAAGTGTTGTATAAGAGTGATCAATCAGCCAGCTCCCTTCCTTTTTCTAAAGCCTGAGGGATTGTGGCAACATCAGGCTAGAGCTGGCAGAGTTCCTGGTACCACACAAGGGCCTGAGAACTGGACCCCAGTAATGTTGTCTCTTACAAATGGGTGACTCTCACCCTCCCATGGGACCTTATTGAGGCTTCATCCTGTTCCACTGTTCCAGGCCCATAAACAGCACTTCCACTGGAGCTCTTTGCTGTCTGCAGCGCCCTCTTCTACTTTGCTGACCGAGCCTGCCCACTGTCTGGAACAGTCACGTGCTCATTCATCCACTGCTATTCCACTAGGTAGCAGACAGCAGTCAAGGAAGTAGGACGGGCATGGTGAGTACAGTATCATCTGTCCCAGCCTGTGGTCCACTCCGTGACACTCCTAATTTCTTAGGCCACATGTCTAAATGTGAGGTTCAGAAAGCATGAACCTAGGACTCACTCCCCTTGGGATGCTGTCAGATTGAGGGCATGCAGAGACGGGCATCTGCAGCTTGAGAAGGAGCCAGGATACACACTCACACACATACACACACAGTTGCAATCGCCCAGGAAGGGCCTGTCTGTCACAGGCCTGGCCTGGCCTGCATGGCACCGAGGTGCTACATCAAAGGAGAGCGGTGGAGTCGGCGATTACTCGGGCATGTGGCTCACCTTCCTGCCAGTATTTTCCCTGACAAGACTTTACTTGCCACCCACATTTTCCTCTCTGGTAACAGAGAGGATTAAAGGCTCCTCAGTCTGCTTCTAACTAAAGCCCTCACCACTCCAGAAACTACTGGAGCTACTGTCTGCAACTCCTCCTCTCCCCCAACCTGCCTCCCCTGTCCTTGACTCTGCCACTCTAGGATAGTCCCACACAACCCTCTCTGGGCCGTGGGGATGATGCTGGAGGGTGTAGATCAGAGCCGGCCAGCCCCAAAACGTTGACCCTCTGGTGCCGGGTAGTTTTCACTGGGCAGTCCCTGGGAGTGAACTAGGGGGATGGGCTAAGGGTCCCCAAGAAGCAAGAACATGGTGCCCAGAGGGCCCAGAGGAGAGGGGATGTGGTTGTGAGCCAGATGGGAGCTGCATGATTCCCTGTACAAGGGATCACGGAGATCCAGGCCTTGACTTGTCCGATATGGTAGCCACTAGCAGTATGTGGCTATTGAGCATTGAAATTGAAATGTGTCTTGTCCTAATTGATATGTGTTGTCATTGTAAACTAGACACCAGATTTCAGACTTAGTACAAGACAAAAAAGAATATAAAATATCTCAGTCAAAATGTTTATATTGATTACATGTTAAAATGACAATAATTTGTGTATATTTGGGTTAAATAAAATATATTATTTAAATGTTTTATAATTTAAAACTTTTTTTTATTTTTTAAAAATTAAGGGACTGGGTGTGGTGGCTCATGCCTATAATTCCAGCACTTTGGGAGGCTGAGGCGAGAGGATTGCTTGAGTCCAGGAGTTCAAGACCAGCCTGGGCAACATAGTGAGACCTTGTCTCTATTAAAAAAAAATTTAAAAAAAAAGTGCAGTGGTATAATCATAACTCACTGTAGCCTCGACCTCCTGGGCTCAAAAGATCCTCCCTGCTTAGCCTCCTTGAGTAGCTGGAACTACAGATGTGCAACGCCACACCTGGCTAATTTTTAATTTTTAGTAGAGACAAGGTCTCCCTGTGTTGCCCAGTTTGGTCTCGAACTCCTGGGCTCAAGTGATTCTCCAGCCTCAGCCTCCCAAAGTGCCGCGATTACAGGTGTGAGCCACCACGCCCAGCCTTTATTATTAAAATTAATGTCACTTTTTTTAATGAACTTTTTTTTTTAATGTGACTACTAGAAAATTGAAAATGACATTCATGATTCGCATCGTATTTTTATTGAGCAGTGCTGGTCTAACAGAAGTAAAGTGTTCCCCACGGGGGGATCAGCCACGGAGAGGGGACCAGTGAGAGAGAGCCTGCTGTGCCCACTTTGAAGTCTTCTCTACCATCAGTCTTGTTCAGCTGGGAACAGGAGCCTGTGAACAGCTTGCCTGACAATGAGACTGACCGGGAGCTAGAACTAAAGCTCCTGACCCCATTCTAATGCTCTGTTCTCTCAAGACAGGACCCCTCATTCCCTCATACCTGGGGCTGGGTTGATGAATTTGTGGCTTACGGTGTAGGGGAGGGGGAAGGTACCCCCAGGACTCTGGGCATCTGTCTAGGGGACCTTCACTGCTGGACTCACCAAAGTTTTAGGGACCAGGACGTGGTGGTAGTACATGTCTCTTCCTGCCAGGAGCCCTTGTCACAGCCTGCAAGCTTAGAAAAGAGAGATGCCCCTTCCAATGTAGGGCATATTCTATTATTTATTAACCCCGAGGAGGCCTGCCCACGATGGCCTTCCAGCTGGTTAATTGGATTTCATGACAACTTTTTTAAAAGGAATGTTCTGAGGAGCAGTGTTGTGTCCTGCCCCAGGGGTCCTGTGAGGTTTCCTCCATCTCCTTGAAAACTCAGCCACTGCGGTATAACATGGAGCTTTAATCATACATGTCAGTGTAGCTCCAGTCCCATCAGAAGCTGTGGTGGGGCTGACACAGCCACTGATGCTCCAGGATGAGAAATAAGTCCCTTTCTTACCTATGATAGAGAAAGTATCTTCTGTGCTTGATGTGTGGGCGACTGCTAGTTAATTTGTGAGGCACTTCTGCTTCGATTACAGCCCCTCGTAGGTGAAAGTGTGCTGCTTATCACAATCAGAATGTCATAAGTTTGCATTTCCTTCTGCTGAGGAGACATTAATAGACATAAGGTCCTATGATAATAGCTATTAGCATGGCTGAGGCCCCTACTTAAACAATTGCTTTGAGACTAGGCAGCTAAACACTAGTATTTCATGCATGGGCTCATTGCTCTTCCTCCCAGGTCAGTTTTGCTATGGTTGTTTCATCCAGAGGATGTTCAGGGAAGGACAGAAGGGGAGCCCCCTGCAGATTCGTGGCCACCCACTGTCCCATGGCCTTCAGATAAGGAGAGGGACAAAGCCTGCTGTACAAAAAAATCTATGTATGCACAAAGCTGCATTTTTAAGGACAGGCAAGAATTCCTGGTGTTATGGTAGAATTTACTGGAGAGCCCTTTAGACTGTTAGATTCCTGCCAGAATGGGTTGTTTACAGGGAGGTCTACTGAGGATGGAGACTGGGCAACTTAAAACAAGAAGGCAAGGAGCTAACCCCATGTTTAGTGTCTTTCTTGTGTAGAGTTCTGACACTAGACACTTACAGTAAGTATGTGCCCATAAACCACTATCCCATGGACCCGAGGGTAGAGCCCCTTCCTAGGATTTGGAAGGGACCCTGGAGAGAAGGAATGGGGGTGCGTACTGAGGTACTAGAACCCCTAGGGATGAGTGCAGTGGAAGTTCAGATAGCCATGGAATCTATCCTTTGACTGGGTGCTCTCTTTTTCTGGAGGACATGCTCATAAAACAACAAATTGTCACTCTAAACTATTCCCCCACATCAACAAGGACAAGGGTCCCACAGCTATTCATATTGTGTGCTTGGCATTATGTAAAGTGACTTACATACACCATCCCAATAACTTAGTTATGGGTATAGTTAGCCACATTTTACTCATGAAGAAACCTGCGCTTACAGAAGTCAAGACATTTACTCAAGGTCACAAAGTTATAGGAAGCCAGGATTGTAACTAAGCTCTCTGATTCCAAAGCCCATGTTTAATTTCTACTTTATAATGCCTTCCAAAAAAAATCTCCCCCAAAACTATGATTCTAGTTGAAAAGTAATTCTAGAGAGGGGGGATATTACATTTTATGTATCACAGAACAGACCTATAGTAGCCCTGGAAAGGCTTCACACAAAATGTGGACCTTGAAGTGGCCTTGAGGGCAAGTTACTCTTTGTATAAGTGGGGGCATGGAGAGGTTATCCCAGGCTAAGGGAAAAGCAGGAGTGAAGGCTGGGAGGTGAAAAGTTGCAGGTCAGCAAGAGAGGACATTGAGAGGACAGAAGTGGCTGGAGCAGAAGGTTCCCCCCAGGGAGCAGAAGGTGGGGCTGGGCATGTAGCCTGGGCTGAGGTCTGGAGGGCATTGAAAGTCAAACCTGGGAGGTAAAGTATTCCTGTTTGCCTGGTGATTTAGGATGATCAGCTACAGAATGGATGGAGTGGAAATGCTTGGGGACTTAGGGGGCACCCTGGGCAGGGCTGAGGCTGTGGACTTCACCTCGGTGGACCTTAATCTCCCCTGCTGTGAGAAGGGTAGATAACCCTGGGTGCTCAGAAGTCTGGGCCCCTGTGGAGCTTGGTGATGCTAAGGCACCTGATGGATGCTAAACCACCTAGGTTATGGCTGCCAGGTGCAATGGCAGAGGTGCAATAGTAGCACCTTCTTTTTCAATGTAAAGATAGCTAGAGGGAGAGAATTGACTAATTGTGTGAGAGCAGAGGGAGGAGTTCAGGTGACTCTGAGACTCCAGTTGGAGGATGTGAACAGAGTATCCCTCTCAGCAGTTGGTCCCCAGCACTGCCTGAGGCCACACCCAAATCTAGGAGCTCCAGTCCACCCCCTTGGGCACTGGCATTCTGCATGCCTGGCTTGGAGGTAGGGTCTCCCCAGCTCCTCCCTGCCCCCTCTGCAGAAAAGCTGAGACTTTTCCCATTTCTCCTGCCTCTTGTTTCTCTAATTTTATGATTGTATGAAAATAAGGTTCCCAAATTGCCTTTAATTAGCTTTAATAAGACAGCCTTTTTGCTAATTAAAACGATTATTAAGAAACCATTTATTGAGAATGAACACAGTTGTTAGAACCTACGAGAATTCTGAACTCTTAATAATAACAACAGCAGCCACCACCAGCCCCATCAGGCCCCAGAAACTCAAACTGGGTAGTGCTCAGGCTGGGGGCCCAGGGTTTCCAACTTTTCCCTCTCTCCAGGGCACCTTGTGGGCAGATGCTGCCTGCAAGCCTATAGTTACTCCTTTCCCCAGCACTGAGGTTCTCTCTGTAGAAAATGTCCCCGGTAAGTAAGCACTGACAGGTTTGCCTGTTAAAGGGTCTGGTGCAGCCAGAGTAAAGCTGGGCAGGCAGTCAGGAGGCCATGAAACCTCCAGTCACTTCACCTCCCTGGACCTTTATCTCCCCTGCTGTGAGAAGGGTGGGTGGGCCTGGGTGGCCTCAGAAGCCCAGGGCCCTCTGGAGCTTGGTGATGCTAAGGCGCTGGTTGGAGCCTGCACTCGTGGAAACCCACACCTCTGGGTAATGGGGGAGTCTGGGGCTAGCAGAGCCCAGAGCTCATTTCATCCTCCTCTCCTCCCTCTCCAGGAGGACTGCTCAGGCAGCTGAGGCAAGAGACTCCTGTCGCGAAGCTGTTGAGGAGACTCGGAGACTCTGGGCTCCCGCTAGGAGCAAGCAGGCGCGGTGCAGCGAGGCGAAGCCCAGGCGCGGGGCCCGGAACGCGGTGGTGCAGCTCCCCGGTCCCCGGGTCTCTGACCGCGGTGCTCTCTCCCGCCCCGGGCTGCGCAGCTGCTGACAGCTCCTGGGTGATGGCGAACGGCTTGTGCTGTCACATTTCCTTCCTGTAGGGAGGGGGTGGGGAGCTGGAGCCTGGAAGGGCCGGGACGGGGAGGGAGACTACCCAGGTGGAAGGCGGTGCAGAAGGTTGCTGGAGAGAAGACGCCCCGGGCAATTTCTAGTGACGTCGTCTAGGCCGTATCTACCTTCTGGGGTCAGGAGTCTTGCTACACCCTAACCCCGCCTCCTCCAGAGTCCTCCCAGGGTTTTTCCAGGGACCTGGTCAGCTTGAGGTCTTGGCAGCACTTGAAAAGCAGCGGTGGTTTTTGATTTAGTTGTTTAATTTTTATTTTTAAATATTACAGTGGAAAGAACGTGGACTTTGGAGTCCCATAGCCCTGGACTCCAATTCGGTGGGTCGAATACCTAGCTTTGTGACCCTTTGTGACACTCAACTGAGCTTCGTTTCACGACAGCTTTTTTCCCATGGGGCTGCTGTAAGGCTTAGATGCAATAATGGAGGTGAGGTTGCCCAGTCGGTAGCCTAAGACCCAGCGCTAGTGTCGGGGGAATGTGCACTTGACCTCAACCAGTGAAGGCGAAGGATAAGCTTCCAGGCCCTAAACCCGAGGCCAAGCCGGCCCCGGTCTCCTTGGCGCTCGCTGGCGTCCAGGGTCGGCAGCAGGGCTGGGGACAGTGGGAGTGGGTACTCGGCGGTTCCCAACCACGCCGCATGTCGGAATCCACGCGGACGTCTGAAGAAACATCCGCTGGGGGCCTCAGCAGAGTCCAATTCATCGCGAGCCTCTGGGGTAGGGCTCAGGCCTGAGGGTTTTGTAAAAGCTCCCGAAGGGGGCTCCGAGGTGCAATCAGGATTGAGAACTGGTGATTGAAGAACCACCGCGGTCTCCGGAAAGAAATAAACAAAGAGGCCTTCCTGGGGCGGAAGGGAAGAGGGCTGGCGGGTCCCCACCCGTGTGCAGGTGACCCCTTCACACCCGCATTCCCACGCCCAGGGACACGGTTACACGCACGCTTGGACACACGGGCACCCACACTCACCCGAACACACACACCCACGCCCATTCACGCTGTCCCGGACACACCCACACCCACTGCATTCTCCGGGCGAGTCCTGCGGCCGGAACCCAGACAGAGCGCGCCCGCTGGGGGCCGGGCCCCGCTGCTCCGAGGGTCTCAGGCCAGGAGGCCCGAGCGCGCCACAGCCGCTGACAGCGCGGCTCCTCCGAGCCCGGGGCGCTCGGCAGAGCCCCCGCCGGGCCGCGCCGCGCTCGCTCCGGCTCTTTGTTATGCTAATTCCCCTTCCCAGCTGGTGCCAGCTGCCTGCACAATGAGCGCCCGGAGCCCTTGCCAGCCCTCGCCAGCCAGGGAGTGGGGGCGGGGCGGGGGGGGGCCACCTCACACTGCGGCTGCCCTCCTCACCACCCCCTCGCCGTCCCAGCACAGCGCAGTCTGGCCGGGTGCTGAGCAGCCCAATAAGCAGCCTTTCCCCCGTCCTCCCCTCCCCCATGCTTGCAGGGCCGCGCCCCCCGGGGCCTGCAGGGCATCCTCTGATTCATTCCAGTCGCTAGGGCTGCCCGCCCTCCAGGTGCCAGGGCTTGATGATGAAAAGTAAAAGGCTCCTCCGCGGCTCGAGAGCCGTGAGGATGAAAGAGAAGCAGCCGCCTCCCAGACCACACAGCTAATCCTCCCATAAACCTCGAGCAAATAAGGGGAGAGGAAGAACAGGCCGGCTACAGATGTGGAGTGCAGCCTCCGGGGATCCCCAAATTAAAACTCGTGCAGGGGAAGCCCTTGGACCACAACCAAATGACACTAATTGGGTTATGGGACCATAATCTTGGCTGGTATTTAAAAAAAAAAAAAAAACAGTTATAGTCACAGCTGCAAGAACTGTCTTCATAAAAAGAAGGGGGAAAGTCCGCTATTTTATTACGCATAAGAATGAGAGAGAAGAGGGTTCACGGATCTCCTGCCTGCATGGTGCAGACAGGCTGGTTGCTTGAAGGCGAGGACAGTCTTGTGCCAGGGGGAGCCGCGTTGTGCCTGGCTGGCTCCGGGTGTGTGGAGCTAATCGGCTAAAGGAGGCGGGGGCAGGAGCACTCCAGGGGGAGGGGCAGAGGAACTGCAGTGAGAATGGGGAAGCATGGCCTATCCGGAGGAATGTATATTACAGAAGACAATAGATTAGCCGCCATATGCAGAAAACAATCATTTGGGACAGGAAAACTCAGAGATGTGTTCTTAAAGAAAGATCCAGAAGCAGTTTCTCAGTTTCACTGGGAGGGAAAAAAGGCATTCTGGGGAAGGGAAGGAAAGGAAAGGGTGACATGCAGAAAACTCAAGTGAACATCTTCAGAAAGATCCCTGATTGTTAGAATCAGGAATTGTTAGAATCAGAAGAGAAGGTTAGAAGGGAACAATCTTTTAGAGGCCCTTTGAATCCAGCCTCATCATTTGACAGATGGAAAATCAAGATCCAGAGAAGTGAAGGAGCTTGTTCATGGTTAGACAGCTAGTGAGTGGCAAACCTGGGCAAGACTCTGTTTCCTAACTCCTAATCTAGTTCTCACCACTAAGTTGGTTATAATCTTGTGGTTAAGAAACAGCAGTCATTTGACCAGAAATCAATACAATAGATTGACTCTAAGCAAATAAATGAAGAGTTATGATTTGTTCTTTTTCTTCTTCTTTCTTTCTTTTTGCTTTCTTCTTCTTTTATTTATTTATTTATTTTTTGGACAGATTCTTGCTCTTTGCTCTGTCACCCAGGCTATAGTGCAGTGGCGCAATCTCAGCTCACTGCAACCTCTGCTTCTGGGGTTCAAGCGATTCTCATGCCTCAGCCTCCAGAGTGGTGGGGACTGCAGGCTCACTGCAACCCCCACCTCCCGGTTTCAAGCGATCCTCCTGCCTCGGCCTCCCAAAGTGCTGGGATTAAGGTGTGCACCATCGTGCCTGGCCTAAACAGGACATTTTTAAAAGATTGAGGTAAGCTTTGTTGGATCTATAATAAGAACAAGTGTTAGAAATCAATTAATTCGTACAAATTCCATCCCAGGATTCTTCCTAGTATGTATTTCTTTATTCATCACTTAAAACACCCAGATAAATGGCCCCAGAATTTCTTTAAGAGTTCTTTCTGTGCAGGGACCAATACCATCTCTAGATAGAGATGTCCCTTGTGCATTAAGTCATCTTGCCTAAAACCAGCTAGGTCAAGATTGGGCTGGTTGAGAATTCTAATTGATCATCTTAACTGGTTAAAATTCTACTGATTGGGAAATAAAAATATCTACTCCAGCTGCTGGTTTTCCAAACTCTGAGAGGACAAAGGTTTAGAGATGGCCAGCCTAGACCTCCCTGGGCAGGCTGAGGTGTCCTGGCTTCCCACTGCCTCTCTCAGCTGGCTCAAATGGCAACTAATGTTGCCAATCATGAGATCCTAGCCCAGTCAGATAGGAGGGGAGCCTCTTGCAGAGAAGTCCTGGGACCCCCATGGTACAACACTGCATTTGCTCTCATTATACTCTGTTGCCCATTTCTCATTCTCAAGCCATATGGTTCAGTTTTGTTCTCATTTCAGGACCTACCCATCAGCAAGCCTGCTACAAATGAACCTCACCTTAGGGAAAAATATATACTCTTCAAAAATAGAGAGACAGAATGTAATTTTGTAAATGGAATTCTATTTTGAAATTATCAGTGGGTTTCTGAGTTTACTGGCAAAACAGAAGGGATAAGAATTTGAAATAGGGATAACCAACCTCTAGTTGACCTTATACATGGAAACTGTATCCCAGTTATTTTATAATAGGCTGTGTCCTTGGTTGTGGTTATCCAGACAATTCTGCTTTGGCCTCCAAAATTATCAGGTAGAGGAGCACAAGGAATAGCGTTTAGTCTAAATTATCTCCCCTGCCCCCCTCCTGCCTTTTTTTTTTTTTTTTTTTTTTTGGAGACAGAGTCTCACTTCCTCATCCAGGCTGTATGCAGTGGATCCATCTAGGCTCACTGCAACCTCTGCCTCTGAGGTTCAAGCAATTCTCCTACCTTGGCCTCCCGAGTAGCTGGGATTAAAGGCGCCCCCCACCACACAGGCCCGGCTAACTTTTGTATTTTTAGTAGACACGGGGTTTCACCATGTTGACCAGGCTGGTCTTGAACTCTTAACCTCAAGTGATCCATCCGCCTTGGCCTCCCAAAGTGCTGGGATTACCAGCAGGCATGAGCTGCCGCGCCTGCCCCCCCTTTTTTTCCTAACTTAATACTGTACTTTTTCTGAGTAAAAGCTAGGTTTAAGAAAATTATTTGATACAACAACTAAATAAACTTGAACTTTGGCAAATCCTAGAGATGAGTCAGAGGTTAGTGGTTTTTAATCTTTCCATTTGTAAGGGACACCTCTTATTCCCTTCACATAGCCAATGTTCTGAAAGATTCTGTCTGACAAACAAATTGTATTTATTAAGGATAATGCCTTCGTTTTCCCAGTCAGAGTTTCTTCTCAGTTTGTGACAGCCTGGAGCTGATTTAATTCCAGCCAAAGGTAAGGAAATCTGATGTGGGGTTAGCCTGTGCAACCACTTTCAGAAGATTTTATGATTTGGTATTTTAAATACTAAACATATCTCAAGGTCACCAATGACGACTTTCATAGCTAAGGGCCCTGGGACCCCAGGTTTCATACCATCCCCCTGTTTAACTTCAAGCTTGCTGTACAGAACCAAAGAGGCTGAATACTTTCCACCAAAAGGAGGATCTGGCACGGTTGGGTTCCACTTGCCGGGCATTCAAGGACAGTAATGGAGAAGTCATGGAGGCTTGTTCACTGCAAACCCATAATGTACACCCAGGCAATGTTGAGTCACTTCCCTGATATTAAAACCTTTAATCCTGACAACCTGATGAGGTGGATAATGTGTGCTGCTCCATTTTACAGATGAGTAAACTGAGGCACTAGGAGGTAAAGTGGCTTGTTGGCCAAGGCCAAGCTTGCACAGCTACCCTGGCAGAGCTGAGATTTTCATCCAGGCAGTCTAACTCCAAACCCCCTACTCTTAACCCTCTTCTATACTCCAGTCTTGTGAGAAACCCACAACCTCTGTGCCTAAACTGAACAGGAGAGAGATTCCTTGGGCTAATGACCATAACTGTTCACAAATACAGTTTGGTGGGTTTATTGAAAAGCACAGCATCTAAGGACATGGAGAACAAGGAGAACCCCTCCCAGCTCCAGAAAGGGCAGACAAGCCATTTCTCTCTTCCTGCAAAAACATTTAAAACAATCCTTTAGTCCCTGAAATGTTTTTTTCTGTTTTCCTAAAGAGGTTTGACAAAGAAACAAAAAATTCTGTCTTCTTTCCCTTGCAGTCTTTAGACTTTTCCTTAAAGAGAGTGGATTCACTCTGCAGTGTACAGGGAGCACTGTATTTCTCAGATTTCCTTCAGTGTACTGGACCAGAGATCAACTCCCCAACCTTTTGCGCAAATCCCTTGCATAGCCTGTCATTCTCTATCTTTTGCTTATTGTGCACACAGGGATGTTGTGAGTTTTGAAGATGGTATAGATATCTGAGTGCTGTGCCAAGTGTATTTCAGAGACATCTACTCATCTCTTGGCTGAGAGGATACCAGGGTCTTACCACATCTGAGAGCTTAGTTCATTGCAGTCACTTTAGAGGGTATCTGAAGAAAAAGCACTGCGTCTAGAAGTATCAAAGATGGGTTCATGTGTGTGCTGACCAGAGGAGGCAGTGGAGAATCATATGCCTGATGCCTGGACTCAGCTGCTTCCATGGAAAGATCTGGATAGAGGTAATGCCTGCCGAAGGCCAGGCTGGTCTGCACAGCACAAGACTAGGGTACGTTAGATCCCTTTCCCCCAAAGTTCTGATATTTGCCTATTGTCTTGGAGATCTTGGCACAAAGCAAGATCATAACTTACATCTCTGCAAGTTCTTTTATATGTAGGTCCTCCCCACAAGATTTTATTCGATTTTCATATTTTTAAATCAAGAGAAGAGTCATAGAAATGGGGTTGAGAAATATAAGAAATTTCATGAGAAACAACTAATACATCGCCATACATTCTATCAGTTTCATTGTGGTCAAAAGCAGGTGTTTCCACACTGTGAATAAGTAGTTTGCATTTTCAAAGTTAACAAATTGGATCAACAACAAAGAAAAGAAACCAACCATAGACAGCCCACCAGCGGATTGTTTACCAAAGAAGATGAAGCTCATGGCGATGGTTTGCAAACACCACCAGACTAGCTTGTGTAAATTCCCTTCGTTTAGTCATCGTTCTTCAGCCTGTCACAGATACTGAAGGGAAATGCAGAAACAGGAAATTACAGACTATTTTAAACAGCATGTTTTATTAAAGTCACTTGCTGATGCACTTTATGGCAGGATGCGAGATTCAAGTGTTCATAACTTACATCTTTGCAAGTGCTTTTCCTAAGTGAGTTCTCCCAGCTCAAATATGGCAGGTACCCAAGGCTGGGAAATAATCTCCAAACTAGTAACTCTTTCACCCCAGGTCGTGTAGCTATATCACATAGAATTGAGACATTTTAGCCATGTCAAGATAATATACCTTGCTTAGGCACTATAGCTAAGAAAGCAACAGAGAGGCATCTTGTAGTAACTTAAAAGATCCTTAATGCATTTATTTTAAACCACAAAATCAAAATACAGCAATCTTAAAATGAATCACTATAAACCATACATTGTCTCTTCTTTTATTATTTAAATACTGATATCATTCTTCTCTTCATGGGACAGTTCTGCACCTAGTTTAAACCATCATTACTAATGCCATGCTGAATGCTTGTCTCTGAAAAAATCTAGTAAAATTGGCAGGGATGTGATAACCTTAACTACAAATGAAATAACTTCAAATTTAAGGGGCTGTCAGAAAAATGGAATTTCACAACTAATTATTTCCAAAAAAGTCTCCTGCTCACCATTTGTTAGAAGGATATAAAAACCTAGCTGCATCACATAGGAATCCTTGTATCCTTGTCTTATATTTGTTGCGAAGTTGATGTCTCTTAATGGTCATGTCTTCTACAAGTTGTCCTCTGCTCTGCTCCTGATACACAGAAAGGAAGTCACCAAGTGGAGCTGTAATACAAGTTCATAACTGGAGGGGTGGGTAGCCATGTCTTGATGGAGTTAACTATGAGCTCTAAAAATAAATACTTTCATTCCCTTGCTTCACCATTTAACAAAGAAGCATGTAAAATGTTCTAAATTTCTGTTGTCTTAATAAAAGGTCACGCCAAAGATGCTTTCCCCTAATTTTCAATTCATTGCCAGGTAGTGGCATCTGCTGGTTTTGAATTTTTCTGTCTTCCTCCCATGTCCCCTGTCCCTGCAATCCTGTCCCTAGGACCCCTGCAAAGTGAAATGTAGAATAATAGGATTTTGAGTGGAAAGATGATGATGAGACTTTTGCCCTTTGAAAATCCCTTTGCCAGACCACCTTCTATAATCTGCTGTTTTTAGAAAGGAAGGACCAGAGACAAAGGTTAATGATTTCATTAATGATATGCACCCAGATGCCTAGGGGAATAGCAATTAAAGGCACTCTTGGGGAGCAAGGCAACTTTCTTAAATGAAGATTTCCCCTCATTTATCTTTTAATAGTCTTGATTCTGTCATATCAGGTTTTCCTTAAAGCAGAGCACAGCAATGAGAGAAGGTGCAGCTTCCAGGCGCGTAGATACCAGTGTGGGTGGAGGATGTCTTAGCTTTTCCAAGTTGCTCGAGATAAAACTATAGAATCCAGTTAAGAGATATAACTTACTATGAAGGGTGTCCTGGCCACTCTAGGAAAATCTAATGGAATATCTCATGCATAAAAGACAATGCTGGGTGCATGGGAGGTGAACACAGGAAGTCCTAGCACTCTCGCCTACTAACAAGAGAATTTTTGTGGTTTGGATGGGTGTTTAGGAATTAGTGTTTGGTGAAGAAATTTTTTTTTGCAATGCTAGAAATATCCTGGAAACAAAAACTTGATGACTAAAAAGAACAGATTTTTATGCTGCTGGATTCAAAGGCATCACTTATCCTACAGAGAAGTGATTCTAGTGGGTTCTACCGAACAGGTGCAGGCGCTCACAGCTCAGGTGAGTGCTGCTGAAAATCACCAACTTTGTCATTTTACAGCTTTGGCCTTCAAGAAAAACACTATCTAGTAATGCTGGGGCTTTTAAAAAGCAGAAGGATAAGTCCTTTCGTTCATATTTAAATCTCCATGAGATATTACACTCATAATAAGAATGCTACATTTGACAAATTAATTAGTTTTTAACTAGCTTTCCCCTTTATCAAATATTAGCTCCTAAGAACATTAATATGGAATTGTATGGAATGCTACTAGCAATAATCTGTAGCTGTTATAACTGTTTACATATGGGTCATCTTCACAGTTTGACAGTTCATAATGCAATCAGCTAAGATTCAGTATTTATGGCTTCGTGTTATACAATTTTTTTCAGAGACACTCCAGAAAGGAAAATCTTTACATTCTTTCAGACATAACCTTATTGATCACCACATCATCTATTAACATTGTGCTTCTTAATCAATAGAAACTTAAACTTACGAACTAGGATCATTCTGAAACACCTGTCAGATTGGCATTTTAAAATACTCTTTAATTTAGAAAACTCCTGTGTGGCCACTATCCACTACAGTTTCTAGATGTTTTGAGTTTTTTAAAGGAGAGAGAATAATGGAAAAGAGAAACATAGCCAATAGCCATTAAAATTTAAAAAACTTAATGAATTTTTATCATCTTAATAAATATATATCAAGAAAACCTCACTTTATTACAACACATTCATATACAAGCATCTATTAGCTAAGTTTTGAACATCAAATGTTTATCAAATATTGAAAATAAAGGACAAAACATTACTAGACTATTTAACTATAACACAAGAAAATGTTTTAAAAATTGGTCTTTGTGGACAATTGTCCAAATGATCCTACTCATACACTGTATGAATGAGACCTATATTTAATATTAATAGCAATAATAAAAAAAGCTTTATCTTGGAGAAACTGGGAGGGCTTACTTATTTCCTCCGTTTGGCATTTGGTTTCTGTGAAGTATTATTTGAACAGGCCCAAGTCAATTAGTAAACTTGGAAACTGGAATACAGTTTAGCAGGAAGAGTTGGCTGGAGTGGAAGGAAGGATGGTAGGAGGGCCACTCTGAACACTTTTCAAATGTACAAGTTAAAGATATTATTTGGAAAATGTAGACCAAATACATAGTAACTATTATAGATTAAGTCCCATTTCTCCAAAATAACTTTCAAAAACCTAAAGTCTTTACATTCTTTAAGATAAACCTTATTGATCACCACATCATTTATTAACATTGTGCTTCTTAATCAACAGCAAAGTTCATATATAAAAACCCACATGCTTTTATAATCTAAACAAGTGAAATGATGCAAAACAGAGAAAAGTATAATGCATGCCACTGGTTCGTGAACTTCATTGGACAAGAAAACAAAACAAAACAACCCAAAACCCAGAAAACCCCAACCCCAGCAACACACAGTTGCCATAGAAAAGCTCGAGCAGCCCGTGCTGCTTTCTAACAGCTCTCTCTCTCATTTCCTCCATCCCTATTGAAAAAACGGCGAATCCAAAAGCAATTGGGCATCAAAAATAAAGAATAGAGATGTCGAATCAAAAGCTGAACACAATAGTTCAAAGTTAACAGTTTCCAAACCATATTGATCCACCCTGTGGTTTTTTTTTTTTTTTTTTTTTTGTCCTGTTTGTTAAATCCCTGCTGTAACTCTGATTTATCCTTAATTTTCACATTGGCAAAAATTAAGATAAAAGTAAGGCACCAAAAATCGCCCTGTATAACACCTCTCTAAAAGCCTCATCACCCATCACAGGCAAGCCAGAAACTTGCAGGGAATACCCTCTCTGTGTAAGACTGTTGATTGCCGCCCCTAGACAGGTGTGTTTCATTATGTTACATCCTATTTTCATCTGTCACACAAGACTGTTAGGTACAAATACTTAACAGCACCATTAAGCCATTTCATCTAGCTCCCTGTCTTTAGTCTTTTATTTAAAAAAAATATTGTATCATATAGAAGAAGCAGGTATCTTTGCTGGTTATATTGATTTGCTTACCAAATAACTCCCTAATTAACTGGCAAACATGTAGAAATTTCTTAGCTAGTGACAGGCTCCTTGGGGGGCAATGGAAATATTGCAAGGGCACATTGTCCCCCAATCTCATCTACTGATCTTTTCCGTAAGAAAACTATGATATACTTTTAAGCATTAAGTCAATCGTTTCCTTGGTAAAAATCACCACATTTATAAGAAGCTCGCTGATGCCTGCTATACAGATGTTTTACGCAATCTGCTCTCCAGGCATTAAAACGACATGGCATGTTCATGGCATAATTTTATCTGTTGTACAAAACTACAAAATCCATTCAAAATAAAATTTACGAGAGCTAACTGATCATGCTGTGCATGCTTCAAAGTTCGGTGAGAAGATGGCTCATATTTTACTTCCTTTGCTGCAGCACAGTTTGTTACTTGGTGGTGAAGCCTCCTTTTTCCGTAAGGACTTTTTCCAAGATTCATTTACATTGTTTCTTTCATTATATCCGGTCTCAAAATAATCATAAAATTGGCCTTTGCACTCAAAAGCAAGGTCATTTCCCACAGGTTCGTGGCTGAGGGGGCCACCATCTCTGTTGGTGTCATCATTTGCTTTCTCATCATTTAATTTGGCCTTTTCCTGAACACCAAGTGATCTGACATTAGTGACAAAGATTTCATTGGCAGGTATCTGGCCATCACTCTTGTAAATAGATGCACTACCTACATCAAAATCCACCTGGCGGGAACAACTCGGTAAAGGCAAAGGGGGAGAGGAAGAGGAAGATGAGGAGGAAGAAGAGGCGGAGGGAGAGGAGGCAGCAGTGGAGGCACTTCCAACATTAGCATTGACAGAAAGGGGTAAATTTAGGTAGTGGCCACCACATTCTTGGTAAAAGCAGCAGGCATGAAACTTTTCACATTCCTCTTTGGCCATCCGTGGTCGTTTTCGGTAAGGGCAGTCTTGAGCCATAAACCACTCTTGGGCAGAGGTGCCATTGAAAGAGCAGGCAGGGAAGCACCAGTTATTCTGCATGATAATTTCTCCATGGATCCTTTTCATCAAATTGTTTATAAGGACAGATCTTCGGAGGTACACTTCAGGATCATCGATAAACTTTAGCTTTTCTAAGGACATATAAAGGATGTGGGCTCGTTCCTCAAAAATTGAGATGGTCTACAAACCAAAAAAAAAAAAAAGAAAAAAACAAACAGAAAAAGGAAGAGAGAAAGCTTAGAAAATGGACTATATGAAAACATCATCATAGCATACTTCTTTCTTGGCACTGTCTGGGTCTGGGCATGTTGTGGTCTTGTTCCGCAGGGTTAATTTAGAGAGGCTGTCCCCCATTCTGCTGATATTCCCTTTCCTCACTTGGCTGGAGCACCCACCCACTTCCTGACTCACTGGTGTGGTCAAGCACTAGGGAATCGAGCCACAGTGCAGGCCCCAGGAGGGACAGTTCAGGTGGTTTGATCTATTATGGCCCAATAAGGAAGATGCTGAAACACAAAACTAATCTAAGCTATTAGAAGTCAGGAGAGGAGGTACTTTCAGAGTTGGGGTGAGCGGGGCGAGGGGTAGTGTTAGAAGCCGGCAGAAGGAAGATTCTGGTTGCTAGTTATGTTTTGGTTCTCGACCTGGATGTTAGTTACATGACCTCATGAAATTCATCAAGCTGTACTGTGATACCTGTACTTTTTTATGTGTGTCTATACAAATACACACACACAGACACATAACTCATATATTGTACATCAATACATGTTTTTAAAATGATGCCAAAATGCAAGTCATAATGAATATACTTCAAACCCTGGTCTAGCCAAGAAGGAGCATGAGATTTGGCTTTTAATGCTGTCCCTCTTTTAATCCTTTGGGTTTCATACTTGCAATTATCCTTGCTTGATAAGAGGACACACTAATGAATGAGGCTCAGACCCTGACAGAATGTGTCAGTTGAAGGACCAAAGTAGGCTTCCTTGTGGAGCTGAGTGGGAGACGAGATGCCGAGAGGAAATGAGAGGGCTCACTCCTGAGCTGTGTGACACTGTCACTATGCGATGGTTGGTGCAAATCCAGTAGCAACTGGGAAACTGCTACAACCACAACACAGAAACTAAAAAGGAAATAAACTGCTTGTGTCCTGGGGACCAGTTATTCCAGGCCATCAAAAAAGCAAACTGGCACCATAACCTGAGGAGCTGTGAACTAAACCAGCCCATACTGACCAAAGGCAGGGACTACACATGCAGGGAAAAGCCCAGTACCTACCAATGCATTCTGCTGTCTTTTCATGAGCAAGGTAAAAGCAACATCTAAAGGATGAGGTGGCAGAGGGGGAAGGCAAGAGGAGACAGAGAGGAAGAAGAATTGAAAATCCTCTCTGCATTTCAGACAACTATGGTCTGTGCTTATACCTGCCTTGATTAAATCAGCAGATAGTTATTGAAGGAAGGTAACTCTAAAGAAAAATGAACTGATATTTCAAAAGCTTAGATGCCCAGATTCATAATTCTATGCAATTTCCCCATCTTGTTTTTTTTTTTAACTATACCTACAAAAAAGTTAGCTTTGGTCTTTTCCTGGAAATGAAGTCCATGTTTCAACAAACTTATATGTAACCCATGTCCAGTGAAGTGCATATTTCTACTTGTATACACACATTCAAGGATGATGAGTCTACCCATAAGAGGTCAGGAAAAGCCCTGTGTAACCACCCCCATGTGGACACACAGGGAAGTAGCATTGGCTGCAGGAGCCAGAACTCAGACTGGGGAGAACATGACAGGAAAGAACGAGCGCATTCCCCACACACAAAAGTGTGGAAGAACCATAACCCAAAACACAGTCTGAGAAATATTAAATCATACGTTAAAAAAAATTCCTTGGATTACATAATTTTGACATTTCTGGGTAGAATAGCTCTTGCCAGCTTTTTCTTCAAGTACTTGTGAAAAATAACACAGGACCCAAAAAAGCGACAACGATTAATGAGGCTCCACTGAGAAGTGGCTCATTTTCATTGCTTGGGTGAAACAATTTAATTCCTGGAAGTGGATCAAGCAACTGTTACTAAGTATCTTAAACTCTTAATAAAAATAATGACTATTAAAAAAACATACTTTATGGCTACAGCTGCTGAGTGGTGGGTGAAAATCCTCTTCTTCCACATACTTCCTCTTAAAGTATGTGATCTTGGATGTTGTTATAGGATTTGAAATTCCCCTGTAATGTGATCCTGTGGTAATAAATCAGATATGACAAATGACATGCGGTTTGCCAGAGGTTCTCCAAACAAAATACTTTCGTTTCCTTTCCTTCTAGAGGATAACTTGGCTACATATTTGTCTGTACATGTGGTGATTAAAAATAAACATTTGTCTTAATAGTTGCTATCATATGGAATCCTGTGACCCAGGCTAGGAAAAGATTTCTAGGCAATTATAGAGGAAAATCACATATTTTAGCATTTAATAAATATGCAGAATCTTAATTCTATGCAAAAGGAAACTGCAACATTCATAAAGGGGAGGAGTGTAATTTCTCTAAAATATATTAGTATTTATTTAAATTGTTTAATTAAATTCATGACAACATAGCACCACTGTTAAAGATGTATACATCTTTAACTGTAACCACTGATAACCAAACAACTTTGAAATCTTATTGGCTTTAGGTTAGTGAACAAATGGTTATCTGCACATTGGGATTATAGCATTCCTTTTTTTCAAAATACAAAATTCAAATTTTTAAAATTTGAGTTAAAATTTTGGGTAACTAATGTCCTTTTCACTCTCCAAAATGTAGTATGCCAACCATGAAGACCACAGTTTTTAATCTTTTTTAGCAAAACAGACTTCATTGAGTACTTGTTTTATATTTTAGTTTCTTTTAAAAATAGCTAATACTGCAAAAAAATCCAAAGGAACTTAAACTATAAGAAGAAAGAATCAGGAAGAACATACTTCTATTTTCTTGGCTTTAAATTTTTTTCCTACAATCCTAAAACCAATTGTGTGCTTTACCCATTTATGCCATAGGTTGCAAATTTTTTTGTGTTTGAAAAGTCAGACCTTGGTGATGACCTTGAGCAGTAGGATATAAATAACTTCCACAAGCTTAGCGTTCCAATAATGGAACACTGGGCATAAATGGGTTAACAAAGAAAAGAAGCTCATAGCTGCTGGCCCAAAGTGCAGATTCCTTTATATCTCATGGGATAAAGGTGTCATTGTTGAGCCCACCAGAGCTTTCATAGTTGTGAGAGAACCATACAGTTCCACAGGGTAGAAAACCAAAACCCAAACTCAGAGTTTCAATATCTGGTTTGGCCCTCTTAAAAATACAGACACATGACTTATATTCAAAAAGCAGCATGGGTAGACACAGGTTTGAATGCAATTTAAATATCACCTCTGGTCCTCTCTCTGGAGCTCTGGACTCACTTATGAGAGGCGCACAGGCAGCCCGGGAAGTCCCTGGAGCTTTAGCTCTCCTGGCTCAGAGGGGCACCCCAGACACCACCTCCTGTCCACCAGGCTGGCTGCAAAGGGCAGCGAGGGGTGGGGGGGATGGGCGCAGGTCAAGGGCAATACCTGCCAGTGGGGGACCAGCTCCCCGGTCTCCCTGCAAAGGAGCTTGTGCTGGCCCTGGGGGGCTTGGGCCTCCGTAGCTGTCAGCCTCCCATAGTGTTTGGTACCCAGCAATTTCAGCAGCTCCTTCCGAGACAATGGGCTCGCAGAATCTATTCATGGACAGAACCAGAGTCATCTCTGACAGCCTCAGATCTGAAAAGAAAAAAAAAAAAAACAAGAATGAAGAAAACAGCCCTAATCAAGAGCAAGCCAAGGGACGGCCTTGGCATCTTCATTTCTTTGCTTTGGGAAACTTTTACTTCTCGGCCCTCCCCTTTACCCTGAAACATTTTATTATTTTTTCAAAGAAAACCTCAGCAAACTCTCTAGCTGCTATTAGCTCAGCCTCTGTGTTCAGCAATCTGCATTTCATGGGCGGATCTTTAAAACCCCATTTCTTATTGTTCTCAGATTCCCTTCAGCCCTCTTCTAGACAGCTGCTTTGCCTCCTAAACACATTTTCCTCCTGACCTTCCAAAGAAAATGTACTGCTAAGAAGCCAAAACCCTTGCGCTTCCTTTCTATTAATAAGGCAAAATCAATTTTCTAGTCAATCCCCCGGGAGTCTCCTTTGATGAAATCCACTAATCAATCAAAAGAAAAGGGCAGGGGAAGCAGAAATATCCACCGTAATTCCAACTGATGCTCTGAGGTTCAGTCTGTTCCGCTGCCCCCTGCACCCTCCTCCTCTCGTTTCCGCAGGCCAGTTCCTCTACAACATGCTGGGGCTCCCTCCACTTTCTTCTCCCAAAGCAAAGCAGACAGAGAGACACTTGGTAGTTGTTTCCACCAGCCCTGATCGGCCTGAACTGGATCTGCCTCCAGTCAAAACACTGCGAGATGAAGACAGAAAATTGGCTCCAGTTTCAAGCCGTGAGTTGCAGTCCCACAGGAGCCAAGCACAACATCAACGGAGCAGGCAGAATATTAAACAGGAGCCAGGCTCTGGGGCCAGAGGCAGCCAACAACTCTTTACACTGCAAAGCCCAGACACAGAGCAGGAACTTTCCAAGAGGCAACACATCACTGCCCTTCTCTCCAGTTCACGCCCTTCTCCCTTGGGCCTGCAGGGAGATGGGAGCTTCTCTGCTCTGTGAGGCTTCCTGGGCCCCTCGATAGCTCAGGCAGTGAGGCCGCTTTCATGGGGGCTCTGTGTCTTCACTTGGCCCTTTGCAGGTCTCGAGGTAGGGTCAAGAGTAAGTTCAAGGGAGAGGAGAGTCTGATATGAAGGTAAAAAGACCTAGCAGCCATAGACCAGTGGTGACAGTAGCGCAACCTCAGTGCCTCCTTAACTGCCAATCCCTTTAGGAGACTCAAGCCCCCACTATCTCATTCTGTGGTTTCAAGAACTGTCACACAAGTGACGTCAGGCTTTCTGAAGATTGATTGTCTTTCAAACATAAACTAAGGGCCCAGTTCTTGCTTTCTTTTCCAAATTATACAGCTTGTAATGTTTCTGGGAAAGAGTGAATCTACCATTGTCTCGTGGGAGACTATTATTACCTACATGCTATAACAAGGGTCCACTTCCAAGGAAAAAGAGGAAAAACACCAGGGTAAGGCGAAATAGCATCATTAAAGTGACAATGTCCTTCTGGCTAAAAGAGCAGCTCTTGGCAGCAATGACTCTACCTTTCACCCAGTCTTCTCTCTGAGGTCTCAAATTCTGTCCCAACCACACTGAATAATGAAGCAAGATCTTTTGACAGACAGGGAAGGTGTACAGGTCAGTGGAGAGAATTAGGACTCAGCTGGTTTGGGCTGCTACAACACCTCCCCGTTCTCTTTTAAGATGCCCTCCAAAGAGACATCAGTACGGACTTATTAGTAAACCTTAAAACAAGTGGGCAAAAGAAAGGTTCGATTAAATCTTTACAAAGAAACGATGGGACATGTCATTTATTTTTCTCTTTGAGTCATCAACAAAGAAATTTAGCCTACATTGATTTAACAAATTAAGTCCTTCTGTCTATCATTTCTCAAACTCCTCATCCAAGTAGGGTATCAAACTTCATGATGATTTATTCCCTGGAAGACTCTCATGAAATTGTCCAGTTTCTTCACCTATTCTAAGAGACAATCATATCAGGAAATACTATTGCCAAGAGCACATGAATTACAGCTTTTCAACAGTCAGCAGCCCTTTCTTATTGAGAGAATCAACATTTTCTAGTTTGAAGTTTACACTCACTTTTGTGTTAGATCATGGGAATAAGATGCAAGCCTTTTGCCTATGCAGACTTTTATTTCATGTAAACAAAAGCAGGTTGTCAAACTCATGCCCCTTAAGAAAGAAAAACATTTGCAGGCTCCTGGCAGCAATTACTTTTGTTTAACAGGACATTATATGGGCCCTGTGCTGTTTTATGTTTGTCAGAGTTTGTTTATATTTTAATAACTTTTTGGTAGTACCTTTTTTGGTTGTGAGGAATTTCAGCGTTTCTATTTGTTAGCATTATTTCCAGCATATCCTATTATGCACGTGAACTTGAAACATGGCATAACAGTATTTATCTTGGCTATTATTTTGTTCACAATATCTAATTTTACTAAGTTTTTCTTTTTTAAATTGAGAACTGTTACACACAAAACCCTAAACTAGAGAGGCTGAGTTCTGCAAGTGATTTATGTAAATCTGAATAAAACATGAATGAGTTGGGATTATTTGGGAGCGGGGAGGAGATTTTGCAATTGAGTCTTCCTAGTCTATTTAAAACTTACACTGGATGTTAACAAATTAAGAAGGCAAGTTGAATGTTCACGAAAAATTGGACAGGGCAGCGTTAAGCACAAATGCTTAACGTGAATCTTTCTTCGTATTATATGTAGAGATCTAAACTGTCATAATTCTCTGTCTGATAAGATTTATAATTCTGCTACTGACGTCAGCAATTCAAGTCCACAAATTCGTGTTCTATTAATATTAAATAAAGAAAAGGATATACATTATGGCAAAATTTATTTTCTAAGATCAGAGGTGATGGATTCAACAGGAGGGTGTTAGAGTGTGTTTTGTCTATGCATGGGTTTAAAAGATAAGAAAAAAAAAAGCCCTAACCCTTCATCCTCAGGCTCCTGAATGTCTGTTTTGACACCCAGGTGGATGTAGTGGAATGACACTTCCAGCATCCCCAGAAGACTGAGGGCTAGAATGCCAAGCTTTTCCAGCAAATGTTCGTAGTAAAGTTACCAGGCATTTCTATACAATTTGTTTTTTTCCAGATGAGTTGGGCTTGTTCTTTCCTAGAAGCAATTATGATGCTAATAGGAGTGGCTGGCACACAAAACAGGGTAGCTATGAATTCAGCGGCACCTTGAATCTAACAAGGGGCTCCAGGTCATTCTTTGCTCACTTCTTCTTCCATCTGTCATTGAAAATTGGAGAGCATTTGATTAAGATCATTATAGCAGTTAGCAGTCTGATTCCAGCACTGGAAAGCAGGGAAGTAAAGGGCTATTTCCACCCCCGATCGATGCTGCCAGTTTTAAATGGCATCAAGCCCCTGACCTCCACATTGTCCCAAAATGATCTCAATAGCTTGTCCGGCTCCTGGTGGTGGTAGTGGAAGGGACTGGATGGGCGGAACAAAATTCTTCAACCCTTCTAAACAAACAGATGTCGCTTTTCTGCCGTTCCTGCAGTACACCTGTCTGCCCTGGGAAGTACATTTCTCAGCTGCAGCCCCGCGAGGCCAAGAGCTTGAAGCTGGGTCCTGTGGTTGGGGCTGCAGGTGCTGGGCCTAAAGAGCACGAAGGGGTGCTCCGATGCCCGAGCCCTGGTGCCCAAGGTGTGTGTGTGTGTGGCGGTTGCGGGGGTGGGGTCCGAGGTTTGGAGGGCCGACCTCTTGAAGGCGGGCGGCAGCCACCAACCACATCCTGGCTCCCGCACAGACACACCCCCGGGGTGTCGGTGCCGCAGCCCTCAGCCCCTCCCCGGGTAGCCAGCAGCGCCCGGTCGGCCGCTGGCCGCAGGAGAAAGTAAACAACACCCCAAGTGTCCGGGAACAAAGGCAAGTTGTCTTTCTACGGTGCCGCAGCCGTGTGCCTCTTCTGAAGAATAAGAGCTATTATTATTCTTTATGTCTTATCCTTTTTTTTTTTTAAAAAAAAAACCAAGTTTCCTTCTAAGGGAAATAAACACCAAAGGTAGGATTCCAAGGAAATGACTCACAGCGGCTGGCAGGGCTCTGGCGGGGCTGGCCCGGGCCCCCGCGCTCCAGCCCGCAGCAGATGTCGGCCCGGCCTTCCCTCCCTCCCTTGCCGGCCAAACCCGCTGGAAGCCCGCGGTTGCGGGAGCGCCCTGCGCCCGTGGGACCTGGCGGCGAGGACGCCTATTCCCTGCTTCTGCGACCACAGCTGGGCACTCGGAAAGTTGCTAGGGCCGAAGAGGCGGGAGGGGAGGAAGGGAAGCGAGAGGCGGAGGCGTGGACCAGGCGGGCAGCAGCCTCAGCCCGCCGAGGAGGTGAGCTGAGGACAGAGGAGCCGCCGCCGCCCGCAGCGCAGCTCTGCTGCCTGGGAGGAGGGTGCGGGGGCGGAGGTGGCGGGGGACAGAAGGTGTCAGCTACTGCATCAATTCCTTTTTCTTGCAAACGCGCGCTCCTGACATCCACAATCCCTCTCTCCCCACCTGCCAAGCGCCGCGGCATCCGGACCTGGGGGCACCCCTCCTACTTAACCCCTTCCCCTACGATGAGGGACTAAGCGGCCACGGAGGACCATGAGGTCTCACCAGAGCTTCTGACCCCACCCGCCCCTGGAGTTGTCTCGGTGCGCGCGGGTGGCAGCCCGAGCAGCCCTAGAGGAGGCGGCGGTTCCCGCCCTGGTGAAGGCGCCGCGGCGCACGCTAGCCCAGGGAAAAGCCCGCGCCGCCTCCGCGCCCAGCTGTGCCTTGGCCCCCACGCCGCCCCGACTCCGCTCCGGCCGCTGCGAGTCCACTCGGTGACCTCGGCACAGCCCTGGTGCCAAGAGGGCGCGCGGGAGGCCGCGTGGGTGCCCGTCTGCGAGGGCAGGAGCCCCGGGGGGCCCTCGCCCTCCACCCTGCCCGGCCCTCCCGCCCCCGCGGCCCGCGCCCAGCCCGGCTCTTACCGCGGGGTCAGCGGGGAGGCGGCGGCCGCAGCGCTTGAGCTGCTGCTGGTCCGCTCTGGGCTCGGCGCCAGCCCGGCCGCCGGTGCACACTCGCGGGTCCCGGCCCGGCCGCCCGCTCGGCGGTGACTGCGGGTGCGCGGCGGGCAAGGGTCCCGGCAGGTCCCGCCGCCGCGACTGGGGCGCTGCGCCGCCGTCGCTGCAGACGGTTATGGTAATGAGCGGCTCTGTCTAGCGAGGAGCGTGTGAAACCCGTCAATCCTGTTTGCCATTTCCCCGTGGATTTCCGAGGAGAGGTTCTGCAGGATGCCCCCAGGGTGAGAGAGGGAACATGACAAGCGCGCCCGCTCTCCCTCCCTCCCTCTGCTCAGGCCGCCGCCGCCGCTCCTCAGGCTGCACACGGGGCGCCTTTCCCGCACCCCCACCCCAGCCCGCCCCCTGCCTCCTTCCCTGCTTCCCGCCCTCCCTCCTCCTTTTCCTCCCCTCCCCTCCCGGTGCCCGGGGACACGCGGGCCCAGCTCCAGCCCGCAGCCCAGACCCCACGCGCTCTCGGGCTCCCGCCCTAGCCCTGGGGGCTTGGCTCCAGCCGAATAATGTATTCACTCTGGAACCTTCCGAGATATCTTGTCTTTTTAAATTTGGTTTAGTTTTGTTGTTGTTGTGTGTGCGTGTGATTAAAAAAAAAATCTGTGCCTTTCCCACCCTTTGCAAAAGACTTTCTTCTCCTTTGCCACAGCAAACGGAGATGAGAAACAGATGTCTTTGCAGGACCAAACAGTTATTCTCCCTCGCCGCCCGCCCCCGCCCGTTTCCCTCCTGAGCTGCGTACGTATTAAAAAAAAAAAAAAAAGCAACCTTGGTCCTGCTGCAACTTGAATTGGCAACCCTTTCTGGGTGGGGAGCCTCCAGGGAAAACCTCCAGGAAATAAAAAGTAATACAAGAGATTGTCCTTGCTCAAGAGAATGTAATTTAAGCCTTGGAATCAGAATATTTTGCAAATAGTAATTTTCTCCTATAGTGGCCTCAGAGTTTATTTTTTAAAATCATTAATTCATAACTTCTGTCTAGGGACCCCTCCATAGTCGAGATGGGTCATTTCAGGTGTAATGAAGGCAGAGGCTTGGAAGGCATAGACCTAATAAAATCGGGAGAAGGCACCTGCACAAAAGTGTTACAAAGACTATAATGTTTGTTTACTGCCACTATACCAGATGTGCTAAATATAACACTTCTTTAAAACAGTGATCCTCCGACTGTGAAAAACCAGACCTCTGGCTGCCTGGCTCCCTAGGAATCAAGAAGACGCACAGACTGAAAATCAAGGGAGGAAGGAACAAGATCAAGGATGAGGATTAGCATCTGCAAATTGAACTCTATCTAATTTGCATGTTTATTTCTTAGAATTGTAATTAAATTTGTGTAATAAATGTTTTCCATTTCATTTGTACACTTAAAACTTGGGTGACTGACATGCAGTTAAGTGAATTTCCTTTTTTTAAAAGCAAATGTAGATTATTCAATAAAGCAGCAAACCAATATTAAACATAATTAGAACTAATTTGTTTTGAAGGTGTTTTTGTTGAACTTTGTACATTAAAGACTCTCAGAGGTTTTAAGGGTATTAGGAAGCTGAGAGATGGCAATTATGCTTAAAACAGATGAACCCAACAGCCTACCAAGAGCATTATTTCATTTTTTCCAAAAGACATTCCAGGGTTGCATGCCTAAAATTGGGAATTGGGCATCCATCTTGGCTTTATTCTGAACCATATTAAATTGCATTGGCTCATGCATGATGTGGGCCATTATGATGATAATTTAAGAATTGTAAAGATGCCATTTTGTGCAGTCAATGGAAGTTGCATGTCCAGGTTAAGAGTAGAGTATAATTTTCATCTGGGTGGGAGAGGAGGGTTAGGAAAGGCACAAGGGCATTTAAAGCAGTGCAAGTACGTAGAAATCCAAATTTCCAAATAATCTAAAACTGGTTATTGTCAAACTCAAAAGAACTAAATGTGAGGGTTTGGAGGCATGGCTTATTATGGTTTTTATCTCCCTATATTAAAGTTTTATGGCATTTAAAGGACTATGGGTAAATCCCCATGTACACTTGGCTGTGTGAAAATACATAAAATCAAAAGGAGCAAATTAAGCATAAAATTGAGAAATAACATGAGACTAAGTTATCAGCATGGGTGCACTGGCATCTTTGGAGCTTTGGCTCGGAGAAATGAGCCTTCTGGGAAACTGGCATTGCCCTTGGGTGGAGAAGACTCTTGGCTTTAATGTTACAACAAAATGGTATCACAAGTATCAAATCATTGTACTTCACAGCATCCTTGCAGTTCTGAGTATGAACTAGACCCTGTCCTCATCAGATACATTAGGTTAGCATGTTTTACTGACAGCTTTCCCTGCCCTACCTTTAATCCTAAGCTTAATGTTTTTTGAGATTCAATACCCAACTGTTGACAACATGAACCTGTGTCTACAAGTACAAGAGGCAGACAAATGTCTATGGAATGAGAAACCTCATTACAAATTTAAGGTGACTATGTGGTAGCTATGGCATGAAAAAAGAACCAACTATAAATCAATAATGAAAAATTTGGAATGAGTAATTGTTATTTATAATGAGGTACAATATTTAATTGACAACTATGATGTCATCATTTTGGGGTGTGTGTGTGTGTGTATGTGTGTGTGTGTGTGAGAAGCTCCAAATAGAAGTTTGATTATAAAACTTATAATACTTTGAGCTGCAAATTTACTGAAGGCAGTGGTTGTTTTCCTTTGTTTAACAAAGAGACTTTCAGACTTAAAATTGCTGAAACCCATTTCACAAAACCTTTTTGTCATTTGTCTGATAGGGGGATTTCACAAGTAAAATTTGACTTATTCAGATTGTTGTGGACACAATACCCACTTGGATTAATTGAAAGTTAAAATTACTGGCTTAAAAAAATAGACCATTTTTGGCTGGGTACGGTGGCTCACGCCTATAATCCCAGCACTTTGGGAGGCCAAGGCGGGTGGATCACCTGAGGTCAGGAGTTTGAGACCAGCCTGACCAACACGGCGAAACCCCGCCTCTACTAAAAATACAAAAAATTAGCTGAGCATGGTGGCAGGCGCCTGTAATCCAGCTACTCAGGAGGCTGAGGCAGGAGAATAGCTTGAACCCAGGAGGCAGAGGTTGCAGTGAGCCAAGATCGCACCACTGCACTCCAGCCTGGGTGCAACAGAGCAAGAATCCATCAAAAAAACAAACAGCAACAATAAAAAAAAAAAAAACATTTTTTTAATGGCAAAAAGAAGCATCTGCACCCAATTCCTCTTCTATTCTCAAACCTTTTCCACTGAGGCTTTCTTATCCGATCACTCCATTGAAACTGTTCTGGTCAATGTCACCACTGACCTCCACGTTGTTAAATCCAAAGGCCATTTTGCATCTAACTTGACCCTTAAGCAGCATTTGACCCAGTTGCCCACTCCCTCCTCCTTTAAACGCCTTTATCTTGGCTCCTGGGACAACACATCCACCTGATTTGCCTCCTGCCTCACTGGTTGTTCCTCTCAGTCTCCTTTGCTGGTTCCCCCTCTTATCTAGGACCTCTGGATGTTGGGTTGCCTCAAGCTCAGTCCTTGCACCTTGTCTCTTCTCTACAGTCACTCTCTTGTGGATCTCATCTAGTCTCTTCCCTTCAAAACTCTCTATATTCTGATGACTCCCAAATTCATATCTGTAGCCAAGACTCTCTTCTGACTTCCAGACTCTGTGTAGATGCCTAATGGGTATCACAAGCTTTACAGACCCAAAACTCAACCCCTATTATCTCTGCTTTCCCAACCTATGCCACCTTTAATAGTCTCCTTCAATAAACAACAGTATTTTTCTACTTGCTCTGACAAAACTCCTTAGAGTCATCATTGATTTTTTTTACTTCATCTCCTTTATCTAATATATCAGAAAGTCCTTGAGAGGCTACCTTTAAATTTTTTCTTGACTCGGCCAGGCGCGGTTGCTCATGCCTGTAATCCCAGCACTTTGGGAGACCGAGGGGGGTGAATCACGAGGTCAGGAGATTGAGACCATCCTGGCTAACATCATGAAACCCCCTCTCTATTAAAAGTACAAAAAAAAAAGTAGTCAGGCATGGTGGCATGCACCCGTTGTCCCAGCTACTTGGGAGGCTGAGTCAGGAGAATCTCTTGAACCTGGGAGGCGGAAGTTGCAGTGAGCCAAGATCGCACCACTGCACTCCAGCATGGGTGACAGAGTGAGACTCCATCTCAAAAAAAAAAAAAAAAATTTCTTGACTCTGATCACTTCTCATTATCTCTACCACCACCATTCTGGTCCACGCTTTCATCATGATCTTCTGCCTAGGATATGACAATGGCCTCCTAACTGGTCTTCCTGCTTACATCTTTGGCCCTCTTTCTAGTTCAATCTCGGGTCAACAGCAATGGTGTCAATTTTTGCCAAGGCTCTTCCTAGAGCTCCCCATTCAAAATAAAAGCCATGTTCTTGTAATAGCCTGCAAAGACTAGAAGTCTCTCTTTATTTCTCTGATCTCACTCTGCCTCCAACAACTCCAGCCACTCTGGCCTCCTTTCTGTTCCTCTAACAGCCAGCTTTGCTGTCCTCAGGACATTTGCACTGGCTATTCCCTCTTCCTTTTGTGCTCTTTCCTCAGATAGCTGCACAGATACATGTCCACCTCTTCCACATCCCAGCTCAAGTATCATCTTTTTAATAAGCCCTGACCACTATGCTTGAAATTCTAACACTTCACCTTTATAGCCTGCTTGATTTTCATCCAGAGGATAAAATAAAGATCACCTTCTAATCTGTTATGCATGTGTTCAATGTATCACTTCTCTTCTTCCACTAGAAAGTAATGTCCATAAGGGGAGGGATTTTTGTCTTTTTTGTTAGCCCCCGTATCTTCAGCACCTAGCACAGTACAAGTACTTGGCATACTGAAAGCACTCAATAAATATATAATGATTGTTTGAACAACTGACTGACAGTTTCACGTATATACAGAACCCAAACAAGGCTAAAATAGTGCTAGTCTAATCTAGTGGATGTAGAATGGATAAACAGGCAGTTAGTTTTATTACCTCATTTGCCTCCCAGAATCCTCTGGCCTAGAGCTGCCATCTGCCCTGCAGCTTTCCAGGACCTGAAGATACTACCAAGATTCCCGGGACCCAGTGGTTTCATGCTGCCCTCCCTGCCTGAGAGTCCCAGTACTAGATTTTATCCATGTGGATGCTGGTGCTCTGGACCAGCCTGCCTTGCCCCCAACACAGATTTTCTTCATTGCCAAGATGCTTGTGCTAAGCTACAGTCTTATACAAGATAATAAAGTGTGTAAAATTGCTCTCCAGGAGCCTAGGATATCATTTCTTGGCATAGCTACCCTTTCAGAGTTCCTCCACTTTCTTTCTTATCCTCCTTCAAAACTCATTCAAAAATACTTCAATAATTAAGTGCATTTTACATGCAAGAATAGATCTAGGCACTGCAGGTGAAGTAGAGATTAATAAGACACTATTCCTAGACTTATGGATTGTCAATACAGTGAGTAGCATAAGGCAAGCATAGGCATGATGGCACTATTTAGTAAGTCGGGGCACAGCAGTGGCCATGGGAGTTCCACGATGAGACGATCACATCCAGCTGGGAAAGCCAGAAAGACGTAGTGAAGAAAGTAAAACCTGAAGTTGACCTTGAAGATAGGTAGCTCTCAATGGCTGGAAATGGGGAATGAGTGAAATGTGGAGGAAACAATTTGAGGAAAGGCACGTAGGCTGGAAAGCAAAGGGAATCTTTGAGAGGAGTGAGTGTTCCGGTTTTACTAGTGGGTACATGAAAGTAAAAGTGTATCATAATATAGTGTATCATAATATTGTGTATGATAATACAGTGTATATTACATAATACAGTGTATGATAATATATTATGCTATTAATATTGTATTACGAATATACATAATTCAGTGTATCATAATATACACTGAAAAGCAAGATGAGTTTGATCTGAATTTAATAAGCAATGGGAAACATTACAGTTTTCAAACTGGAGAATGATATGATTGAAGCTAAGCTTTAGGAAGAGTAACGTGCAGTGGGGAGCGGTGCTGGGAATTGTGAGTAAGAAGCTCTTTTGGCAGTCTAGGGAGGAAAAGTGAAGGTCTGCATGAGATAGGGGGCCTCTGAATGAGAGCCCCTTCAAGTGCAAGGTATCACTGAGTTGGAATCCTCAGGATGTAATCACTGACTGTGGGGAAGAGAAGAAGGAAAGATGACTCCGACATTACTACTTGAGTGACGTTACTACTACTGTGTGGCTAAGGAAACCTGTAACAAATGAGAAGCAGGTATGAAGAGAATAGCATGTGTTGGTTCTGGGTATTTTGAGTATGAAGTGTAGACAGGGATGTCCACTAGTTAGCTGAATATTCCAGTCTAGGTGTGGACATAATATGAGAGCAAATTACAAAAAATTGTGATTATTTCAATAAACATAAAGGTTGAAGTTTTAGGACTTCATAAAATTACTGAAGACATTTCAGAGAATTAAACAGTAAAGGGTTTCAGTCAGCATCTTCAAGAATCTGATAAATACATTTGCTCAGAGATGAAAAAAATAACATTTTGGGCTTAATGTGTGACTTGTTTCAGGAATATCTGTGTTTAATAGTATACAAAGACCCTTTTGGCTAAAATTTAAAATAAAAAATTTGAGAAGGGATGGTGGAGTTTGGGTAGCAGGCAGTCCCTTCTAACTGCCCTGATATCATGACACAGAAGTAGTTATGTGCTGGACTTCCTCATGTGGCTGAATTTACTTATTTGCCATCACAGATGGAAAGAGATTTGATATTTCATAAATAATCCTGCAATAATTCCTGAAAAGTTGTAAATCACTGACAGTGAGCTTGGAGTGTTATCTCTCTCAGGGACATTTGTATTTTAATAGGAGTCTCATAATGCTACAAAAACTTTAATCAAAGCAATTAATAACTAATGACATGATTTCAGACGTAATACAAGCTAATGAGTATTATTTCTGAATGGAAGTCACTATATATTTATATATGTATGCATATGTATAGAGAGAGAGTCCCTTGCTCAAGGTAATATTTTGGAAAACCTATATCAGTAAATAGATAGGAGTGGTTTCAGTAAACATATCAATCCTTTTTTAATTGAAAAAAAATAGAAATAGGGTGTCACTCTATTGCCCAGGTTGGAGTGCAATAGAGTGAGCAAAACTCACTGCAGCTTTGAACTCCTTGGCTCAAGCAATCCTCCCACCTCAGCCTCCTGAGTAGCTGGGACTACACACACACACACCACAACTCCTGGCTATTTTTTTATTTTTTGTAAAGATGGAGGTCTTGCTTGGTTTCCCAGGCTGGTCTCAAACTCCTGGCTTCCAGTGATCCTCCCGCTCCCAAAGTGCTGGTCCAAAGTGCTGGGATTACAGGTATGAGCCACCACACCTGGCCCATACCAATTATTTGTAAAGAGATGTCATTCTAACATCTAACAGATATAAGCTGTGTTTGTCTGTTTGTGTTGCTATGAAAGGATACCTGTGGCTGGGTAAACTTATGAAGAAGAGAGGTTTATTTGGCTCACAGTTCTGCAGGCTATACAAGAAGCATGGTGCCAACATCTGCTTCTGGTGAGGGCCTCAGGGAGCTTACAATCATGGTAGAAGGCAAAGGAGGAAACTGTATCACATAGAGAGAAAGGAAACGAGAGAGGGGAGGGGTGCCAGGCTCTTGTAAATAACTAGCTCTCACATGAATTCACAGACTGAGAACTCACTCTTTACCATGAGGATGGCACCAAGTCATTAGTGAGGAATCTGCCCCACTCCCAACATTGAGAGTCGCATTTCATCATAAGATTCAGAGGGGGCATATTCAAACCGTATCATAAGCCAAAGAAAACGAGATCCAAAAAACAGGCAGTCTGGAGAGAAACTGAAGCTACTCATAATCTGATTTCAAGACTCCTTTCCTTCTCTATTTGCCCCTTCTGTACATTGTTATAAAAAAGATAGGCTAAACATTTTATGAGGCTTAATATTCGTTCACGGGATATATTCGTGATGCTGCGATGTCATCACAATCAAGGAGCATTTATTAAGTGACTAATAGTTGCACCGGCACATAGAGAATTAATCCAACATGGTTTTCTTAGGAGCTGGAGGATTTGCAGATATTGGAGTATTTTCTTAAGCTTACTCTTCACCTTATTTTTTTAAATTATTAGTTATTAATTATTTTAATTTTTTTAGAGACAGGGTCTCACTCTGTCACCTGGGCTGGAATGTAACTGTGGGATCACAGCTCATTGTAACCTTAAACTCCTGGCCTCAAGTAATCCTACCCTCTTGGACTCCCAAAGAATTGGGATTACAGATGTGAGCCACTGCACCTGGCCCCTTCACTTTATACATATGGAATTTCTAAAAGTCTTTTCATCTTAGTGTATAGCTAGTCTATTTTGTTTTTAGCATTTTTAAAAGATTATGAAACCTCAAAGAAAAGTTTTGGTAATTGACGAGGGCAAGAATATATTCCAATTAAGTAAAAATGTGAGCTATATAAGAAAGTATAGAGATTTAAGTGTGGCCCTAATTATATGAATTAAATATAATTAAATTTATTTTAGGTAGTGTGCTTTTTCTTGACTAAAATAATTATTACTGGGTTTAAGTGAAATATGTGTACTTGTCACAAGCATTGATTTTCCTAGGTCAGACATTTTACAATAGAGAACTAGAATAAGTAAGCCAGTATTATGAAGGCATAAATTCCTAATTAGGATGAAAATATAAGGGACACAGCATTTGCTCATCATTCTTCCTGTTTGTAGGCATTAGCCTTGACTTGGTTTAGAGTTTTTTGATATAACATCCATGTTTAGAATGCATGTAGAGTAAACCGACTGTATCAATAACTAGTGTCAGGAGAGGGGAACTAAGGAATCATGTTCTGGCAGAGAAATACCTGGAGACAAATTAATTTTTGAACATTTCATTTTATATTACTACTTTCTGTGTAGTATAGAATGTGTAGGCATATCAAAGTTCATAATAAAAGCTTATACCATCAGGAAGATGTATTTATTTTCAACAATGTAAAGGGAAAAGCACACAATTGGGGTGGGAAAGGGACAGAGAGAGAGAGAGAGAGAGAGAGAAAGAGAGAGAAAGACAACCTGCAGCAGACATCACCTGAGTGGGAAATTACACATCCTGCACACACAGGCAAGCTCTGCACACACATGCACAGAATTCATCTCTGACAATTTAATTGTTTAATGGTAGGACTAACAAGGAATCCTTTCTAAAGTAATGGCATACAAAGGCTTCCTAGTGAAGTTAATATTCCTGCTGCATTTGATGGGTGTTTCCCATTTGTGCAGTTCTGCCCTACCAGACTCCTTGTGTTTGATGGTGGGGAGACAGGAGGGGCGGTAGTGTCTGTATTCAACAGCAGAATCTGGAGAATGCCTTAGCCTGTGACCTTAGCCATTAAAGCGATAAATCTGAGGCCACGATTGGCACCAGAGCAATTCCTCACATCGGTTGTAATGTCTTGGCTTGCACTCCTAGGATCTGGACTTCCTGAACTGCAGAATATTCTGAGTACAAAGTCCTTGCTTGCCTCACTGTCTGTTTTCTCTTAGTTCACTAGAATCGAGGTTTGGCAGCCATTTGTGCTGAGGCTGCTGCAGGACCTCAGTTTGACCAGCCTTCTAGATAATGGTATGCATGATGCCTCTGATGCTATGGTTTACACTTTCATCCTGAGCTAAAGTCTCTTATCATATTTCCTTATGGTTCACCTTGCTTACATCTGCATTTTAATTGAATCAAATAACTAAGAATAACTGTCTCAAGAACCATAAAGTTCTCAGAGCAAAGCCTAACGTGTTCTCATTTTGTAGTTTCCACTCTCAAATCAATACATTTTACATTTTTAACTCAGGTTACCAGGCTTTGAGGGGAAAAGTTTCATTGCCTCCATCAGAGAAACCCAGTGGATGAGCTTTGACCACAGCAGAAAGTTGCTTTGCTCAGGAGTACGGTTTTCTTTGGGTTGTGGATTTACTCCTGCCATGCTGTGTTGGCTCAGCTCGTGGAAGCGTGATCTGTGTCTTTCAGTCTAGGAAAAGGCTTAGTAGGCAGAGTGGAAAATGACAGACTATTTTTAACACAGCTTTCTATCCCACAGTTCTGGGTCTTACTTCTATTATCATTACTTATTCATAGACTTTCATTCCCAAATATCATTACCCTTTACAGTAATAGGATCAGCAAAGCAACCACTTAAAACAAAACAAACAAACGCAGGAATCCAAGTCCTGTACACAGAAACATTTTCTCCACTCTTGCCAGCTCGCTGCCTCTCCCTGACTACCTGGGGGAGAAGTGGTTCTTATCAGTCACTAAGAAACTCAGCTGCTTGACAAATGCCAGTGTAACAAAAGGGCTTGGCAGTGGGGAATGGTTTGAAGGCATCAGCCACTAAGAGAACAGGGAGGAGGTAATGAAATCCGAGACCAAACAAGGAAGAAAGTAGGGAGTGGAGGAAGCTGGGAAGCAGGAAGAAAACTAAGGAGAAAGATCCACAGTGTGTACTCCTTCAGCAGAAAGCCCTCCTAAAACACACTCCATTTAATTTACAGTGCCATGTAACTATTATGATACCATGTAATATAATGATTACAGGGTCATATAATTATTCCCTGTTTAATAACAATAGCTACAATGTATTGAGGACCTACTATGTGCCAGATGCTTTTGATATGTTATTTGACTTGCACAACTTTTAATAATGGGTACGATTATCCCCATTTTATAGCTAAGGAGACTGAGGCTTAGAAAGGCCTTAGTGACTTATCTAAAGTGGCATGCCTTCATTCAGTGGACCTGGAATGTAAATTTAGACATTATGAATCCAAAAACTGTGTTTATAACCGCACTGTTTTTCGTACTGATTCCCACTGTGTTATACTGCCTTTTTTTCAATTATTTGTATCTTCACTCATACACCACCTTGTTTCAGAAATGATTTAAGATGGTATAAGTGCCTTGGAGTTACACATATATCTAAGCAGCTTGCATATGGTTCCAACACTCTACATTGCATATTTATTGATTGATTGAGCCAGAGAACCTCATTTGTCAAGAGTTCAGAATTCTTTCACTGTGGAGTCCCTTTCCCTTTCTATATTTATTATTATTATTTTGAGACAGAGTCTCACTGTCACCCAGGCTGGAGTGCAGTGGCTCAATCACAGCTCATCGCAGACTTGACCTCCTGGGCTCAGGTCATCCTCCCGCTTCAGTCTCCTGAGTATCTAGGACCACAGTTACACTCCACCTCACCCGGCCAATTTTTGTATTTTTTGTAGAGACGGGGTTTCACTATGTTGCCCACACTGGTCTCAAACTCCTGGGCTCGAGTGATCTGCCTGCCTCAGCCTCCCAAAGTGTTAAGATTACAGGCATGAGCTACCATGCCCAGCCACTTTCTATCTTTAAAAATAGGCCTACCACAAACTCATCTGTGCAGGGTGGCTTGAATACAGGGACAAGAGACTGGACCAACTAATCTGTCAAAATCTCTTCTAGACCTATGATTCTGTAAAGGACGAGGTTATCATGTGTAGTGAGAATTATTTTCTCTTTAATAGTTAATTACATAAATGTAAAAAGTGAATTTGCAGGGGGTCCAGACAAACACTACCTTAGTCACTTGATCATCAACAGTGATAACTTAAGGTCATCATCCACACTCAAGTTGATAGCTTGTATCCTTGATATGAGGTCTTGAAAATAGAAACTTACTTCTGCGATAGTCCTCCCCAAAACCCATAACTTCAGTCTAATCATGACAAAAACGTCACACAAATCCCAATTGAGAGACATTCTACAAAATACCTGACCAGTCCTCCTTCAAACAGTCAAGGTCAAAAAAAACAAGGAAAATCTGAGAAATTGTCACAGTCAAGACAAGTCTAAGAGTCTAAGGAGGCAGGACGACAGCAATGTAGCATCCCTGGGACAGAAAAAAAGACATTCGGCGAAAACTAAAAAATCTGGATAAAGTAAGGACTTTAATCATAATGTATAAATATTAGTTCATTAAGTGTAACAAATGTACCATACTAATGTAAGATAATAATAATAAGGAAAATTGAGTGTAGGGGGTAAGAGAACCCTCTGTATTATCTTCTCAATTTTTCTGTCAACTTAAAACTGTTCTAAAAACATAAAGTCTATAAAAATATTTTGGCACACACACACAAAAGGGAATGGGCCAAGATTACTGAGAGAACCAGGGGAATGGCAAGATGTAAGATATATGTTCCTGTCTTGAAACCCAATCCAATCAAGAGGAATAGCTTTTTCTCGAATTAATGCAATTTTGTTTCCCATTGATCTCTGGATTTTTGATGACTGGCTTTCGAATATCAGAAGATAGGACCAAGTTGCTGAGGAAGTGTCCACTCAGTTCCTGGTTCCCAGAAGGTAATTGTTGAATGAATGAATGTCATTGCAATATAACTTATAGAGCTTTCCTGGCTCTGGGATGCATATAACTCAGATTGGGTTTTAGACCTTTCGATGACAGCACCCCTCTGCCCCTGCACCTGGTTTAATGTCGAGCTACTCCAAGGTCTTAGTCTCATTCATAAGAACCCAACAACTGATTAAATAATTATCTCGGCCAGGGGCAGTGGCTCACACCTGTAATCCCAGCACTTTGGTAGGCCAAGGCAGGGGGATCACCTGAGGCCAGGAGTTCGAGACCAGGTGAAACCCTGTCTCTAGTAAGAATACAAAAATTAGCTGGTCATGGTGGCACATGCCTGTAATCCCAGCTACTCTGGAGGCTGAGGCAGGAGAAGCCCTTGAACCTGGGAGGCTGAGGCTGCAGTAACCCAACATCATGCCACTGCACTCCAGCCTGGGCAACAGAGTGAGACTCTGTCTCAAAAAAATTAGTTAATTAATTAAATAATTATCTCAATTCAAAACTCTAATGCCACATCCTGTTTGGATTACTGGTTACTGGTAACTCCCAATGTCTTATATGTAGCAATATCAGTGACTTTGTTACCAACAGAAATCACAGTTATTTGCATGTCACAATTGTTGTAAACACCTTGAATTATTGTTTATACTTGTCACTACTTTGAAATTATGACATTTATTAGAATTGCTACTGTTTCTTGATATTTAATATGTTAATAAAGAGGCACAGGTACGACAGTGTCACAAATTTTAAAATATTTTGATAATTACATTTGAATATAATTGGTTTTCTGTATAATCCCATGATGTTTTAGAAATACATTTGAAAACATTTTTCTAAGAAGGTGTCCAAATGCTTCTGCCAATTCCTAGGGAGGCTCATGGCATATAAAAGGCTAAGAACCCCTGAAGTACAGCCTGGGCAACAAAGTGAGACCCCGTGTCTACAAAAAATTAATTTTAAAAAATTAGCCAGGAGTGGTGTTATGTGCCTGTAGTCCCAGCTACTTGGGAGGCTGAGGTAGGAGGATCACTTGAGCCCAGAAGGCCGAGGCTGCAATGAATTTTGATGGCACCACTGCACTCCCTGTCTCAAAAAAAAAAAAAAAAAAAAAAGAACCTTGCAGTAGTGGAAAGAACACTGAACTAGGACCCATGAGTTCTAAATTTTATAATCTCCATCAAATCCCTTGATGGTGACATCTCACCAGTGTCAACCCTATAAGTATAAGAAATCGCTGTTATTATATTTGTTACATTTGGCCATTAGATAAAAATGACTTTTTACCAGAGTTTTAAATGCAGTTCATTGCTAAGAATATTTCTCACTTAATGATTTAGACCATGCTTACATGAGCAAAGTGAAATGGAAAATTGAGCCAATTCTCTGGATAATAATTCATGCTAATAAGTTCTTACATTTGCCTGCAACATCTAGATAATCAAAGAAAATGTGTTTTTAACTTGAATTATCAGCATAGCTATATCACGATTCTCAATTCTACTATGAATGCATAAAGTGCCAGAATTGAAGTTTTTAACAAGATGAAGAACAATAGGACTTTTTCAGGTCCTTATTCTAGAGATACTCCCCATGTGCACATTGAAATAGCATGTATCTTCTGGAGACATTTGTGGTTAATTGTGCATCAAGACACATACACACCATTGATTAAAACATCTGTGTTAGGTAAAAATTGTCAATGCTATTTGTTTTTACAGATCCCTAAATCAATTGAACTTCTGTGTAATACATAGGTTTTAGGACAGTGTCGTCTAGTTCAGACCCTCAATAGTTTGCCAGCAGGGAACAATTTACTTTTTCTTCTTTTTCTTGTCATTTTTTGAGACAGTCTCACTCTGTTGCCCAGGTTGGAGCACAGTGGCATGATCTCAACTCACTGCAATCTCTGCCTCCCAGGTTCAAGTGATTCTCATGCCTTAGCCTCCCAAGTAGCTGGGATCACAGGTGAGCACCACTACACCTGGCTAATTTCTCTATTTTTAGTAGAAGTGAGGTTTCACCATGTTGGCCAGGTTGGTCTCGAACTCCTGGCCTCAAGTAATCTGCCCACCTCAGCCTCCCAAAGTGCTGTGATTACAGGCGTGAGCCACTGGGCCTTACTGCAAGGAACGTTTTAAATGGAAACGTTCTTGCCTTACAGTATATAGATCCTAAGGAATGTATACACAACTATGTGCATTGACTCATCTTTTAAGAAAACATACAAACCAAATCTAAACTGAAAGGACTTGAATTAGTTAGAAAATCAAATAAGTAATGCAACTGGAAAGTCTTAGTCTTATCCCTTCCACCCTCTGACAGAAAAGTAAATTTATTTATTCAGTCTAAAGAAATCAGTAATCACATTTTCTTTCTCTGCTATCTCCCCCAACAACTTTTCATTCATAACTATACAAATGTAGCTTAAAAGAAGAATTTAATTCAATTGATGATATAAATATGTTGAGAAGATATTTATAAGTACATTGACTCTCTGGATAATATTTACAACAAAAAGAAAATCTGGGGACTAGACCACCACTTAATAGAAAAAGCACATTAAACACCGTATTAGTTTTCTGGGGTTGCTATAATGAAGTACTACAAACTAGGTGGCTTAAATAACAGAAATGTATTGTTTCATAGTTCTGGAAGTTAGAAGCCTGAGATCAAGGTGTTGGCAGGGTTGGTTTCTTCCGGGGACTGTGAGAAAGAGGCTGTTCCCTACCATTCCCTTAGTTTCCGGTGGTTTGCAGGCGATCCCTGGTGTTCCTTGGCTTGTAGAAGCATCATCTCCATCTCTGCCTTCATCTTTGCCTTCAGCTTCCCATGGCATTGTCTGTGTGTGTGTGTCCAAATTTTCCCTTTTTGTAAAGACACCAATATTTTTGAATTAGGGTCCATCCTGAAGACTTCATCTTAACTAATTATATCTGCCGTGAACTTATTTCTAAAGAAGGTCACATTCTGAGACACTAGGGGTTGGGACTTTAACATATAAATATTGGGGGAGCACAATTCAACCCATAACACATACATTAAGTGTTCCATACATACTTGAAGAACCGAATTGGAAGGTAATATACCTGTGAAAAGCTAGAGGGGCTTGCACTTCTTGAGAGGAAACAACATCTGAAAAGTTCTGATGTCAGTGTAACCATTAACTTAGCAGCAAAATTAATCCAAATTTCTTTCCTTCTTTAAAGCCCCACTGTCTTCCATAACCTAGATATGTTTTTTCTTTATCCTTTTTTATCTTTTTCTTTTTTCTTTTCTTTTTCTTTCTTTCTTTCTTTCTCGCTTTCTTTCTTTCCTTCTTTCTTTCTTTCTTTCTTGTCTTTCTTTTTTCTTTCTTTCTTTCTTTCCTTCTTTCCTTCTTTCTTTCTCTTTCTTTCTTTCTTTCTTTCTTTCTTTCTTTCTTTCTTTCTTTCTTTCTTTCTTTCTTTCTTTCTTTCCTTCCTTCCTTCCTTTCTTTCTTTCCTTCCTTCCTTCCTTCCTTCTTTTTTTTTTTTTGACAGGGTCTCACTCTGTTGCCCAGGCTGGAGTGCTGTGGCATGATCATGGCTCACTGCAGCCTTGACCTCCCCAGGCTCAAGCAATCCTCCCACCTTAGCCTCTGGAGTATCTGGGACTACAGGCATGCACCACCACTCCCAGCTAATTTTTGGTTTTCTTTTGTTTGTTTGTTTGTTAGTTTGTTTTGGTAGAGACAGGGTTTCACCAGGTTGGCCAGGCTGGTTTTGAACTCTTGGGCTCAAGTGATCCATCCACCTCAAACTCCCAAAATGCTGGGATTACAGGCATGCACCACAGCACCTGGCCTTCTATGTTTTCTAAGACAAGAAAAGAAGCTTTCCACGATTAGCCTTGGATAAAATTGACTCCTCTAGAGACAGGCCATGCTTACACTGTAGTTTCTCACTCCCCCTGGCACACTGTGGTTTTGCTCCTCACATAATTTGGGGGGAGCATCCTTACTGCCAAAGACTTTATGCTTCTGAGAATATGTCCAAAGCAGGGAAGTATGCCCTTGGACCAATCTTTAATTGAAATAAATTAAAGAAATGTGTTTAACGCAGACCTAAGTTCCAATTCAAACTTAAGAAATAAATTCTCTTCTTATTTTTTCCTCAATTTTTATTGAAGATATCCATATGCATAGTTAAAAATGTTTAAATTCTATAATTCTTATAACTTAAACCAACAATTTCCATCCCACTTCACCTTACCCTCAATTACTGCTATCCAGAAACAACCATGTAGGACACATTTTGGTCTTTCTTTTGGTAGTCACCTTCATGTTTTTAAATAACATTTTTGTAATGTTACTTTCTTATATTTTTACATGTTGGTTATCGTCTATTATTGTCTTCCTGCTAGGTAAGATGAGGCTTCCGTTCTCTTATACCTCCCAATTCTTCTCCTATTCTCACTTCATCTTCCTAATATAGTTGTATCATGATTTTTGATCAGTTGAATATTCATTGAATTTTTAAGACTGTGTAAATATTTTTCACAACGAGACATGTAGTGAACTACAATTATACATTTTTTTGTAAACCCTTTTTTTCATCTGGGATTAATAATTGTCAGTTTCTTGTTCACTTAATTTTCTGTATATCTATCATTAATTCACTGATAGAGCATAAAACTCCTTTCAATGTGTTCAAACATATTCTTTTTTCTTTTCTTCCTTTTTTATTTCTCCTGCTCTTTCTTCTTTTCCCTCCTCCTCCTCCCTACTCTATTTCTTCCTTCTGCACAGACACGCGCGCGCGCGCGCGCGCACACACACACACACACACACATACACACACACACAGTCTCTTTTGAGTCATCCCTCCTGGAGTCATCTCTTTTCTTGCTCCAGTCAGAGATACTGGTTGCTCACTAGTCCTGCTGCGTCCACTGTCATCCTGGATCTTCCATTGTCATCATCCTGGGATTCACTTTTCCTCGTTCTTGGGATCCTCTATCTCTTGTTTCTTGGATCTCATATATTGTTCTTTCCTAGTTTACTTCCTTTTGGTGGATCATTTTTGAGTCACTTTCCAGGGAAAGGCACAAAGGAAGTAGATTTTCTGAGACTTTGTGTACCAGTTATTAATTTATTGCATCTCAGCTCTATTGTGCTTCTTTATGATACTGGACCCTATAAACATTTCTCCTTTGCCAGCTGGAGCAACGTTAGGCTTTGTCAACAGAGGGCCCTGGAAAAACACTGCAAGGCATGGCAGATAAAAGGGCTTCTCTTCCAAGTTCTCATGTGCAGTTGCAACAGATGTGCAGGGGGCTCAGTGGCACTTGCCGTCAAACAAGTTTCTCCACTCAACTTCCAGTAAGTTCCTCCAGCTCTCCAGCAGGCTACTTCTCATGAGCCAGCCCTAGCTTCCTTTAGCGGGTGGCCTCCTGCACACTGGCTCTTATTGGCACACCCCAGTGGACAGCTTCCTATGGATCAGCTTTGGTCCAGGGTACCCCAGTGAACTTCTCCACTATTACATGGGCCTCAGCCACACCCTCTACAATGAGGTCTGAATCTCAGCCTTTACAGGCCCCTGAGCTTATTTCTTCCTTGATTATGGGTACTTTGCCTCAGCCTTAAAGGAAGTAGTCATTCCCTACAGTTGGTATTCCTGTCTTCTTTAGGGCTTTATTTTACATCTTTTAGTAATTAATCATCTTTTACTAGCTGAGCATGGTGATTCATGCCTGTAATTCCAGCCTCCTTTGGGAGGCCAAGGTGAGAGGATCACTTGAGCTCAGAAGTTTGAGGCCAGCCTGCCCAACATAGTGAGACCCCATCTCGACAAAAAATAAAAAAATTAGCCAGGTGCAGTGGCTTATGACTGTAGTCCCAGCTACTTGGGAGACTGAGGTGGGAGGATCACTTGAGCCTGGGAGGTCGAGGCTGCAGTGACCTGTGATCCCACCATTGCATTGCAGCTTGGGAAACAGAGTGAGACCCTCTCTCAAAAAATCATTTTTTTCCTAAGTAATAATTCTTCATATTAAATTTTCCCTGTATCAGAATACTAACTGGAGTCTCACTGATACACTTTGCACATCTGAAAATGTTTTTATTCTATCCCTTTGTTTAATTGAATGCTTGGCCAGGTAGACAATTCTGGGTTGAAAATAATTTCCCTCAGAATCTTGAATACTGTTAATTTTTTTCTAGTTTCCATTGTTAGGTATTGATTAATTTGATGCTAATCGGAGTTCTAATCCATTGTACATGATATTTTTACAAAAAAAATTTCAAGGCTTTTAGGGTCTTCTCTTTATTTTAGGGGTTCTAAAATTTCATGATGTGTCTTGGCATGGTTTTCATATGTGTCTTGGTGTCGTGCTGGGCATAATCTGAAAACTTATGTCACTGGATTTAGGACATTCCCTTGAATTATTTCTTTAAAAACACCCTCCCTTCATTTTCCCTACTCATTCTTTCTGGAATTCCTATTATATGGATAGTCTACAATGGTTCTCTAATTTTCTAAATTTTATCTCCCATTTTCCATCTCTGTCTTTTTTCCCCCCAGGAGATTAACTTAATTTTATTTCACAATCTTTCTCCATTATTGCATATTTAATTTCAAAGTGAGGCACTAAAAAGTTGGATGGAACATTTGTGTGAGTGGTGGGGGCTTTTGGAGTGATGACCACCATCACAGGGTGGCTGGGCTGGACAGCGTCATAGTGCCCTCCGACGTGAGTGTCTGTGAATCTTTCCTCTTGGGTTGGTCAACTGACCCAGACAGAAATCTTCCAAACCACTTGGAGGTATCAAAGCAGCTTTGTTGTCTGGGGAAATACCCGAGGTTCATCATCTCGTGCCGAGAGGATTAATGACACGGGCACACGCACATAGAGTGGGTTAACAAGCGGAAAGTTTAATAGGCAGGAAAGAAGACAACAGCTCCCCTATGCAGAGGAAGGGCTCTGAATGGAAAACCCCACCCTTGGCAGGAAGCAGTAGGTTATATAGGGAGGCTTGAGGAGGTGATATCTGATTTATATAGGGCCCAGGGGATTGGTTTGACCAGATGTGCCATTTACATAGCCCAAGAAGAAACTGGCCATCCCACCTTAATCTTTTATTATGTAAATGGGGTTTTTTACGTGGCCAGCACCATGACACCCACATGCATGGTGACCAAGAGAAGGGAGGGGGAATTGCCATATTAGGCGTACCTGGCTTTTAGTATAGCTGTTGGTATTCGTCTATGCAAGCTTCCAGCTTGCTTATTTATGCTTGCAGCTTGGCTTTTCAGGCAGGTTTCTGTTAGAAAAGAAATGGTTTGGGGGCTGCTTTTTATTAAGAAAAAAGACTTACCGAGGACTCCTGTACACTCACTATCTGCCTAAATAATTTATTTTTAACTCCTATATTAGTATCAGCCTGCATGCCAGCATTCTTGGGAGCTATGTCAAAAAGGGCAATGAGATTCTCACTTTTCATATGTAGATTTTCATTTTTAGTATGATATCCCTTTCTTCCACTTCCTGATGTCCTATGACCTGAGCCATTATGGTGCAGCTTCTTCAGAGAGCAACCAGTCTTATACTGGGGTGGGAAAAGGGTAGTCATTATTTGGAGTGAAAGAGGGGATCTGGGGATTCTATTTCCTATATAGATTTACCCTATCCTGTTTGTATTTATTTGTTTATTTATTTTGAGACAGAGTCTTGCTCTCTCTCCCAGGCTGGAGTACTGTGGCATGATCTTGGCTCACTGCAACCTCTGCCTCCCAGGTTCAAGCCATTCTCCTGCCTCAGCCTCCTGAGTAGCTGGGACTACAGGTGCACACCACTATGCCTGGCTAATTTTTTGTAGTTTTAGTAGAGGTGGGGTTTTGCCATGCTGCCTAGGCTGGTCTCCATCTCCTGAGCTCAGGCAATCTGCCCACCTTGGCCTCCAAAAGTGCTAGGATTACAGGCATGAACAACCGCGCTGGGCCTCGCCCAGCTAATTTTTGTATTTTTCGTAGAGATGGGGTTTCACCATGTTGGCCAGGCTGGTCTCAAACTCCTGACCTGAGGTGATCCGCCTGCCTTGGCTTCCCAAAGTGCTAGGATTACAGGCGTGAGCCACTGTGCCTGGCCCTGCCCTTCTGTTTTTAGCCCCACCTGATCAGCACGTTGAGATATGTGATGCCTTTGATTTTTGAGCTTTTCTGGATTCCGTAAAATCAATTGTCTTGTTTCTAGACCACCTCCCTTTGCCTTGCGGTCAGCTTAAAGTTTCAGCTTTCTCTTATCTAGTAACTTCCCACTCATGTATGCATCTATAAATTCTATCATGTTGTACTGTCATCTCTTCTTTCTTCGTCATTGCCTTTATGGGTTTACGTCTTTTAGGTAATCTTTTTACTTTCATGTTAGTGAGGTTGTGGAAGGAAATGGAGGCAAACATGTGTATTCAATCTGTCATATTTAATCAGAAGCCTCCCCTTTTTTGCTTCTTAAAATTTCATTGTAAGAGGTATGACAGGAAAAAATTTCTTCCACTAGGCCTGTAGGGTAGATCTAGATGGAAATGCAACATTTTCCAAATGCAAAGCTTCTGCTAGAACAACAGAAAATTGGAATCAAGATATTCTATATAAATGTAGACCTTTAAGACCTTAAGCATTAACATTTACAGTAAGTTAGAAATTCACTGAATTAATAGGTAAAAAAAAAACTACCAAGATTGCCAACTTTAAAAGGAATCTCTAAATTTCATAACAACATATTGATTGATATAAATGCAATAGATAAGCTATCCTAAATCTCAAAACATAATAGTTGGAAAGAGAAAGTTATGCCCTTGACATGTCCAAATCCGTTTATAATCTAACTTATTTAGAGAGGAGAAAACAGCTCATTGATTTCTTCTTTCTCAAAAATTCTCCATGTTGAGGAAATTGCTTTCTATTGTCACTTCTTTTAATTTTCAGGAAAAGAGAGGAGGGGGTTAGGTAGAGGTGAGCAGAGAGGAGCAGGTTACAAGTTAAAGCAGACATCTACTTGGTCCTTTGAGTATACTTAGTAAATTTATGCAAACACAAGCAGCGTGTGAACACAATGTATGAAAATGTCTTTCTCTTCTCTCTTACCAGTAGTGGGAAATAATTTAAAATTCCTTAATTCTTATTTAAAATTAATTTTTTGTACATTTGTAACAAATATAATAATTTTTAAAAATTTAAGCCAATGCAGTTTAAGATTTTTCTTAAAGCTCCATTGCCTTCACTCACTGAATCAATATTTCATTGCTTTATAGAGATGGTAGATACCAGCTAGAACAACTGGTTCTAGCTCAGTTCTGACTGTCAATTTTTATTTTATTTTGGCATCCTGAATGAGAGAACAGTCTGGAAAGCCAGGCTTTGTTGAGGGAGAAAATGTCAAACCTTCTCTTCACTTATCAAAACCAAGGCTTGGCGATGTAGGCGCCAAGGCCTTGGTCCCCTGGTGGGGGGGTGCACTGAAAATTACTGATATGAGGCAGACTGATTAATAGGAGAAAAGGTGTACACATTTATTTAACATGAATACATGGGGGTCTTCAGATTGAAGACCCAAAGATACAGAGGAAATTGTCCATGGGTATGCTTAGATTTCACAAAGTATGAACCGCCATGTAGAAATATGATTGGACAAAAAGGGTCTGATCTAATGCTAATAGACTGATTGGGGAAACCCAACAAGGCCTGTCTGTCTAGATTCTTCTTGATCTCCCTGAGCAGGCATTCCTCCTCCTGCGTGTGGGGCAGATCCTCTCTAGAATGGGGTCTTATGACCCATAGTCAAACAAGGTAGGTCAGATAATTTCTTTGTGGTCAGTCTTTACATAGAAAGATGGAGGGGAAACTGAGTAATATATTTAGGTTTTATGGCTAGCTTTGGGGAAGAGGGGTTCTGGTTTCTACCACCTGCCTTGGGGAAGAGGGATTCCAGCTTTATGGCTAGGTTCGGGGAGAATGGAACCGAAAGGCAAGAGGACAAGAGAAGATCAAAGGAAAACTTGCTTCTGAGGCTTTTATTTTGGGGTTCTTGGAGTGTGATAGATTAATGTCCCTGTTCCTGGAGAGAAGTGGATGGCACTTAGACAGCTGACGTATGGAGGAGGGGAAGGAGGAAGATTCTGGAGGTGCAAGGCTAGGGTGAAGACACCCCTAGATCCTTGAGAAAGGCCCCAGCAGGCCTTCTCTAGTTGGTTAACGGTAGGCCTCATTACCTTATTAGGGGAAACCAGGTCTACCCACCTTCATTGTCTTTTTATAATGTTAGATTTTCATTGATGTTATTTTAAGTACAAAAGTCACCAGTTTCTAAGAAGACAATTTTTGTTTAGTATTTTTCATTCATCTAGTAGTCAGAGCTGCGGGCACACAGGCTCAAGACACTCTGCAAGCCAGTCAGTATTGTAAACCATACATAGTAGTACACTGAATCAATATAGAAATGTTATAGGTTTGGCTGGGCACCATGGCCCACGTCTGTAATCCCAGCACTTTGGGAGGCTGAGGCGGGTGGATTGCTTGACCTCAGGAATTTGAGACCACCCTGGGCAACATGGCGAAACCCTGTCTCTACCAAAAAAAGAAATGTTATAGATGTAACCTTTTACAAACAAAGTAACTCCTAATATCAAGAGAAAAGATAGGAAAAAGGGTTAACGTACCAGTCTAGGGAGAGTGATGAAGGCTGATAAAAGAAAAATTTCAGCCGAATTAAATTTAAAGGAGTTTAATTGAGCAATGAACAATTCAGGAATCAGGCAGCCCCCAGAATCACAGCAGATTCACAGAGAATCCAGCATGGCCACGTGGTGGAAGAATATTAATAGACAAAAAAAGGGAAATGACATACAGAAATTGGAAGTGAGGTATAGAATGGCTAGATTGGTTACAGCTTGACGTTTGCCTTATTTGAACACAGCGTGAACACTCAGCGGTGAATGAATGGTTGAAGTATGGCCGCTGGGATTGGCCAAGACTTAGCTCTTGTTAACAGGCACATACTCCTAAGTTAGGTTTTCAATTTTGTCTATTAAGCTAGGTTACAGTTCATCCGCAAGGACTCAAATATAGAGATACGGAGTCTTCTCAGGCCATATTTAGTTTGCTTTAACAAAACAAAAAGAATCTCATGGGCTGGGCCAGGGAGGTCTGTCGGTCTTGTAAGGAAGGGTCTCTGATGTGGCACAGCCTTCAGCCTTTGGCGCAGTAGATACCAAGCTTTTTTTTTTTTTTTTTTTTTTTTTTTTTTTGAGACGGAGCTCCCTCTGTCGCCCAGGCTGGAGTGCGGTGGCGCGATCTCAGCGCACTGCAAGCTCCGCCTTCCGGGTTCACGCCATTCTCCCGCCTCAGCCTCCCGAGTAGGTGGGACTACAGGCGCCCACCACCACGCCCAGCTAATTTTTTGTATTTTTAGTAGAGACGGGGTTTCACTGTGTTAGCCAGGATGGTCTCGATCTTCTGACCTCGTGATCCGCCCGCCTCGGCCTCCCAATAAATCATGAGTGACAGTAAGTTTTTATGACCATAGAGTCCCCTGGTGACGACTGATAGCGGAAGAGTATGTTTGTTTACTTTCTTATCTGGTTGGATATAGTCTTTGTTATTTGTTTATTAAGCAAAACATCTTATTCTTGTTGGCAAAGTGTCCGATGAAATGTAAAATGGAGTCTTTTTCTAAGGGAGTTATTTCAAGGATGCGCTGCTATACAGTAGTGGTGTACATGTGAGATCATAGCCCCAGAGGAACTCCGGATGGGTTGAAGGAAACTCTGGATAATATCTAGGCTTGCACTTTGGGTTGTGAAGGATAAAGATCAATCTCTTTCTTCCCAGTTGAGGGTAAATAAGGAATACCCATGCAAATTAGTGGCACCTTGCAGTTTTGTCTTTTATTTAAAAAACTGCTATTTTAAATAATAATAGGTCACTTAAAATTATTTTTATGGCCCTGGCACTATGCTAAGTACTTTACATAAATTATCTCTGTTTTTTTCACAGTGTGCTATGAGAGACACCATTTCACAGAGAGGTAATAGACATTAAAAGAAGATTAATATGTGCTCACTTGACCTGTTAGTAAGTGGTAGAGCCAGCATAGGAACCAAGATCTGGCTATCCAAGTTCTTAATGTCTCTGCAAGGCTGCCTTGCCCTTCTGTCCCTCCATTTTCCTCCCACACTCACTCCAGTCCCTTCTGCTATCCTTGTCTTCTCCCTGAGCCCTAGGGGGTAAACTCTATAACTAACCATTTATATTAGTTTAGAGAGAGAATAATTGTAGTGTACGTGAAATTCATTCACACTGCACTGTTACCTCAACCAGAAACTTGAATGTTTAAAATTTTATTGAGGTATAATTTACATATCATAAAATTCACCCATTTAAAGAATAGTTCAATGACTTTTCATGTTTATTGAGTTATACAACCATCCCCATAATCCAGTTTTAGAATACTTTCCTCAACCCCATAAATTTCCTCATGCTGATTTACAGTATATTCATGTTCCCACCTTCAGCTCCGGACAACTACTAACCTTTTTGTCTCTATAGATCTTTCTTTCTCTTTCTTTCTTTCTTTTTTTCTTTCTTTCTTTCTTCTTTGCTTTCTTTTTTTCTTTCTTTTTCTTTCTCTTTCTTTTTCTTTTTTCTTTCTTTCTTTCTTTTCTTTCTTTCTCCTTTCTCTCTCCTTCCTTCCTTCCTTCTTTTCCTTCCTTCTTTTCCTTCCTTCCTCCCTCTGTCCCTCCCTCCTTCTCTCCCTCCCTCTCTCTCTCTCTTGCTTGCCTGCTTCAGGGTCTCATTCTGTCACCCAAGCTGGAGTACAGAGACAGGATCACAGCTCACTACAGCCTTGACCTACCTGGGTTCAGGTAATCCTCCCACCTCAGCCTCCTGAGTAGTTGGGACACTACAGATGCATACCACCACGCCTGGCTAATTTTTCTATTTTTTTGTAGAGACAAGTTTTACCATGTTGCCCAGGCTACTTTCAAACTCCTGGGCAATCCACCTGCCTGGGCCTCCAAAAGTGCTGGGATTACAGGCGCGAGCCACCATTTCCGGCCTAGATTTGTCTTTGTAGGATAAATGAAATCATACAGTATGTAACATTTTGTATCTGGCTCCTTTCACTTAGCACAATTATTCCTGAGATGTTGTAGCAGTTTCTGCTCATTCCTTTAATTGCTGAATAGTATTCTATTGTGGATATACCACATTTCATCTGTCCAAATGATAAACAAATGATAGTTGATGGACATTTGGGTTGCTTCCACTTTTTGACTATTACAAATAATGCTGCTATGAGCATTGGTGTGTGAGTCTTTGTGTGGGCACATATTTTCATTTTTCTTGAATAAATATCCAGGAGTGGATGCTGGGTCATATGGTAAGTTTATGTTTAACTTTTTAAGAAACAGCCTCATTGCATTTAAACCTCATATCTGAATGTGAATTTAAAGTCTTTTTCCTCAAGGAAGCAAGCATTAGTAAGCAATGGAGAGGTTCATAAAGTTGGAGGGAATTTTAGGGGAACTATGATTTCTTTCTTAAAGGGCATTTGTAAAGTGCCTCTGTGTATTAGTCTATTTTCACACTGCTATAAAGAATTACCTGAGACTGGGTAATTTATAAAGAAAGAGGTTTAATTGACTCACAGTTCCACATGGCTGGGGAGGCCTCAGGAAACCTACAATCATGGTGGAAGGCAAAGGGGAGCCAAGCATGTCTTACATGACAGCAGAAGAGCGAGAGAAGAGGGAAGTGCCACACTTTTAAACCATCAGATGTCATGAGAACTCACTCACTGACATGAGAACAGCAAGGGGGAAGCCTGTCCCCATGATCCAATCACCTACCCCCCAGGCCCCTCCTCTGACATAGACAAGGGGATTACATTTCTTTTTCCTTCTCTATTTTTTTTCTTTTTTGAGACAGAGTCTCACTCTGTCGCCCAGGCTGAAGTACAGTGGCACGATCTTGTCTCACTGCAACCTCTGCATCCTGGGTTCAAGTGATTCTACTGGCTCAGCCTCCTGAGTAGCTAGGACTACAGGCATGCGCCACCGTGCTCCGCTTTTTTTTTCTTCTTTAGTAGACACAGGGTTTCACCATGTTGGTCAGGCTGGTCTTGAACTCCTGACCTCAGGTGATCCACCCGCCTCGGCCTCCCAAAGTGCTGGGATTACAGGGGTGAGCCGTCACACCCAACCCACAAAGTTTTAAAGATTAAATTTGAATGTTTATAGGTTGGTCATGCATTCTCCATTTTACCCACATTTCCCCCCACTTGGTATTGACTAACATAACAAAGTTAGAGGATTCACACTATCTGACTTCAAAACTTACTGTCAAGTCACAGCAATTAAGACAGTGTGGTATTGGCTGGGCGCGGTGGCTGACGCCTGTAATCCTGGCACTTTGGGAGGCCATGGCAGGTGGATCATGAGGTCAGGAGATCGAGACCATCCTGGCTAACATGGTGAAACCCCGTCTCTACTAAAAATACAAAAAAAATAGGCGGGCACTGTGGCAGGCACCTGCAGTCTCAGCTACTCAGGAGGCTGAGGCAGGAGAATGGCGTGAACCCGGGAGGTGGAGCTTGCAGTGAGCCGAGATCGCGCCACTGCACTCCAGCCTGGGCGACAGAGTGAGACTCTGTCTCAAAAAAAAAAAAAAAAAAAAAAGACAGTGTGGTATTTGGTGAACATGTAGATCAATGGAAATGAATAGAGAGACCAGAAACAGAAACAGATCCATTCTTATGTGGTCATTTGTATTTTGATGACAGTGCAAAGGCAATTTAATGGAGAAATAACAGCCTTTTCAAGAAATGGTATGAGAACTATTGGACACTCATATGCAAAAAACTTCACAGAAACTAAAAACACTGCTCTTCATAAACACTGTTGAGAAAGGGAAAAGAAAGCCATAGTCTGCAATTAAATATTTGCAAAACACATATCTCCTAAAGAACTGGTAACCACATTACATATCGAAATAATTCTTTTAAAAAACCCTCAATAATAAAGAAACAAATAGGCCGGGTGTGGCAGCTCAGGCCTGTAATCCCAGTACTTTGGGAAGCCGAGGCAGGTGGATTACTTGAGGTCAGGAGTTCAAGACCAGGCTGGCCATCATGGTGAAAGCCCATCTCTACTAAAATACATTTTTTAAAAAATTAGCTGGGCATGGTGGTGAGTGCCTGTAATCCCAGCTACTGGGGAGGCTGAGGCAGGAGAATCATTTGAACCTGGGAGGCAGAGGTTGCAGTGAGCTAAGATCGCGCCACTGCACTCCATCCTGAGCAACAGAGTGAGACTCTGTCAAAAAAAGAAAGAAACAAATAACCCAATAAGAAAATGGCAAAAATTTGAACATACACTACACCAAAGATCATATACAGATGGCAAATAAGCACATTAAAAGATGCTAAGCATTATTGGACATTAGGGAAATACAAATTAAAATCATAATGTGTTACCACTGCATCTATTAGAATGGCTTACTTTAAAAAAATAACAAAAACCACTTTCCATATCAAGTGCTGATGAAAATGCAAAGCAACTTAACGTTTTATGTATTTGGTGGGAATGCAAAATGTTATAGCCCCTTTGGAAAACAGGTTGGAATTTTCTAATAAAGTTAAACATAAGTTACCATATAACCCAAAAATCTCACTCTTAGATGTTTATCCAAGAGAAATAAAAACTTATGTTAACACAGAAAACTGTACATCAATGTTTCTAGTTGTTTTATTTATAATCACTAAAAACTGGAAACAAAACCAATGCCTGTCAGTTGCTGAGTGGGTATATAAACTGGGGATGCTACTCAGCAATAAAAGGGAACAGATTGGCTGGGCGCTGTGGCTCATGCCTGTAGTCTCAGCACTTTGGGAGGCTGAGGTGGGCGGATCACGAGGTCAAGAGATCGAGATCATCCTAGCCAACATGGTGAAACCCTATCTCCCCTAAAAATACAAAAATTAGCTGGGCATGGTGGTGCGCGACTGTAGTCCCAGCTACTCGGGAGACTGAGGCAACAGAATCTCTTGAACCTGGGAGGCAGAGGTTGCAGTAAGCCGAGATCATGCCACTGTGCTACAGACTGGCGACAGAGTGACATTCTGTCTCAAAAAAAAAAAAAAGATTTACTAATAAACATAAATAGATGAATCACAAACACATTATGCAAAGTGAAAGAACCCAGAGCCAAAAAGTTATATATTGTTTTATTCCATTTATATGACATTCTCAAAAAGGCAAAACCAAAGAAAAAAGATTGATGGCTACTGGGGATTAAAAGCAGGGCAAGAAGTTGAAAACCAAGGTGCATGAGACTTTTGGGTAGAGAAAGCTGTTCCATATCCTGATTGTAGTGATGGTTATGACTGTATGCGTTGAAACTCATAGGATTTTACACTAAAAGTGATGAATTCTACTATGTGCAAATTATATCTCAACGAGCCTGAAAGAAAAGCCAATAGGGCCACTTTTGACATTAGCACTTATAAGATAATAACCTAAGCTAACCTAAAAATACGGGGAAAGTTTCTCTTCCTTTGGCTAATTATTAAGGATTCAATATGAGAAAAGGCAGCTCACCAAATTTAGCTTGTATAGAAGACTCTCAAAATTGTGGAGTATTCCTTTAGCACAAATCTAAATAAAGCTTTTCTGGTCATATTTATAGGCATGCTCACATTTTTACCTCGCTAATATAGCTGTTAAGAATATGATATCTTTTCAGTTTCCACATCAACTATGAGCATTTTTCATTTACGTTTTCTGGTGTGCATACAGTATAAATTCTGTTACATCACTTTACACCTTTTGTTGTTACTGACGGCAGCACTTGCAAATCATGTTTAATTTTGTTTGCCCAGAATAATGATGAAATGCTAAAAAATATATATTCTATTCACACTTCACACTCTTATAGTAACAGAAGAGTCTTAATGCACTTCTGTCCTCTGAGGTAGCTTGTGGTAAAACAGGAGAAACACTATGAATAATTAAAAATATGATATTTACTCCAGGAGAAAGATAAATCTTTGAAAAATCTCTGCCAGCAGAAAGCTTCACAATCAGGTACCATATCCTTATAAATAAATTGCCAGTCTTTTCAGGTGTCAAGGGATTTCACAGTCAGATATTAATGAGATAAAGATGCTCAACTTGATCATGAAGGGCGGGAAGAATGAGGACCAAGTTGCTTCTTGTTAATTCTTATCATTCTTCATTGTTAGCTAACAAGTAGGTAGCAGATGCCAGCACTGTGCCAAACCTATAGCTATAAAAGGGTAAGGCAGATCCTAGACTGAAGAGTTTATTCTGAAAGACTTGATTTCAAAATATTCAGACTTTAGGCAATTAACTCAGTTTTTCCTCATCATAGAGACAGATCTCTATGTCTTTTATGCAACTGGCCATTTGACCTATTTTTGTTTTTTATATTATTACAGAAAAACTCTATTCTCTAAGTGAGGAATTAAGGTCAATTGAAAGAAAAAAAAGAAGGGGTTTGTTAGTCAATCTGTGCAATCAATGGATATGGTGTTTGGCTGGGATTCAGTAGACCTGGGTTCCAGCTCCACTGTGACATTAACTAATGTGACTCTGGATAAGTCCACCTGCCTGGGGCCTCAGTTTTCTCATGTGCACAACGATGCATTTGAATTTGATAATCTCTAAAATCAACAATAGCTCTAAAACCATTGCTGATTCTTAATGCACCATCAATTTTTAAATTACTTGAAAACAATGTCTAAACCTATATTACATATAATTAAATCCTTGATAATTCAGAATGCATTTCAAAACACTGCATACTTTATAAAGTCATTACTGTGAACAGCCTAGCAAAGTTCTGCTTAAATAGAAGTTTCAGGCTAATGGAATCCTCATTAGATTCGCTTTTACAAGTGTTTTTCACAAATATAAAATTCTAATTGTAATGAAAAATTTACCTTCATTTTAACAAAATAAAACCCAATTCTGTAATTAAGCAGGAAAGAAAGAGATGTAACTCGCTTATACATGGGTTGAGTTGTTCACACAGAGCATTCTGGCATTGTCGACCAGCCCAAACTCTTTCACTAATATGAAATGCAGACTATCCACTGGAGTTTACAAAAAATTTCGACAAAAGAGGATATTTGAGTACAGAGGTGCAATCTCAGCTCACCGCAACCTCCGCCTCCTGGGTTCAAGCAATTCTTCTGCCTTAGACTCCTGAGTAGCTGGGACTACAGGGGTGCACAACCACGCCCTGCTGATTTTTGTATTTTTTTTTGTAGAGATGGATTTTTCCCTTGTTGCCCAGGCTGGTCTCAAACTCTTTGGCCTCCCAAAGTGCTGGGATTACAGGAGTGAGCTACCATGCCCAGCCTTCAGACTTTTAATATAGTCAATTGATTTAGAAGCCAACAAATTAATTTTTAAAAACAGTGAATACAGTTAACCATCTTTAACATGATTACGTGAATTGGAATTTGTGCTATTTGGATAAGGACCAAGTTTATATTTCCTTCCCTCATGTCTTCCTTCCTCTCAGCCTTCCTTCCCCCAAACATTTATTGAGTGGTTATTATACGAGACTCTGTAATCCCCTGATAGTAAAAAACATGCCAAACAAAATCCCTGCCATTAAGGAGGGTCACAATCTATGAGGCAAAACTTGATTAAAAATGGGCCAGGCTTAGTGGCTCACACCCGTAATCTCAGCACTTTCAGAGGCCAAAGGATCTCTTGAGGCCAGGAGTTTGTGACCAGCCTGGGCAACATAGGGAGACCCCATATCTACAAAAAATAAAAAAAATAATTAGCCAGGCATGGTGGTGCATGCCTGTAGTCTTAGCTATTTGACAGGCTGAGGTGAGAGGATCCCTTGAGCCTGGGAGGTCGAGGCTGCAGCGAGCTGTGAGTGTACCACTGCCCTCCGGGCTAAGCAGCAGAGCAAGACTTGTATCAAAAAAATAATGATAATGTGACAATTTAGTGATAAAGATGTATACAAATGTTACTAGAGGAGAATTTACTTATCTTGGCACTGTCTCACACACACGTACACATACACATACACACAGGTTTGTGTAAAATGACCATTCCATATCAAATTTCAAATAAAGCCTTTGAACCATTCTTAAGCATTTTGAAGCACTAGGTTTACATATAAATAGCATCATAACTCATTTGTTATTGAAAGCAGGTATGAAAATTTATATTTTTTAAAATCCCTGTGCTTTTATAGTTGCCATTAGTAGGAGAAATAGGAAAGAAGCAAAACCACATCTAAAAACTATTTTAGATGGAATGGTCATCTGGTTTTGGTGAAAATGAAGAGAGGAGGCTTTTTTCACATATCCTGGCTGGGGTACAAATTAGTGTAACCTTTCTGGAGGGCATTATAGCATAATTTGTCAGAAGGCGTAAAGATGTACATACTCAGATCTAGCAAATTTATGAAAAAACCGAGGAAGAAAGATTCAGCTTTGAGTGCATACACATTTAGGACTATTATGTCTTTTGGGTGAATTGACCCTTTTATCATTATGTAATGTCCTGATTTATTCCCAAGCACTGTGGACAGAGTAGTATTTTGAAAGTCAGTTAGTGGAGGAACACAAATAAATGAAACACCTGTGATAAGAAGTGGAAATCTAGAAAATATATTCATTAACAGTGGAAACAGTTTATTGGATTCTGCTTGAGCCTGAGCAGGTACATGTTAATGATTACATGTATTTGTAGAAATGGCATTCTATTGTTAATAGTCTGAGATGCATGACCTCTAATTAGGCATGAAACAAACAATAGTAAACTTTACACATTTTTCATAATCATATTAGGGGTTTATTGCCATATAAATCGCTTATGTAAAATCTATATGATTTATTACATAATCCCATTAGATACATTTTATTGCTTTCCTGTGGTTTTGTGCTTTGCCTTAATATTATGTTTGAGCACCCCTTGGAGTTTATATTAGAGCATTTAAAAATCATCAGTACTAAATAACCAAGCAGAACGCCTAGTACAAGAGAGAAACAAAGCTACATTGCCATCTTTAGATCAAATCTTCCTTACCTGATTATCTGGATATTCTGATGAGAATTAACTGAGCTCAAGGTTGTGCTGACACCTTGTGTCTAAATATATTTGAGAGAAATTTTGCAAAGTTGAAAGAATTCAAATATAAAACTGAATGTGTAGCTCTATCTACTTCACCATTCCTATGGTTTAAATTATTTTCTTGATTATGCTCGATCACCCATTTCACTTTCCATTTGCTACCATACTATGTGCTATTGTTTGGTGTTGCAATATAAAAAAAATTATGGTCGGTTGGGCGCAGTGGCTCACGCCTGTAATCCTAGCACTTTGGGAGGTCGAGGCAGGTGGATCACCTGAGGTCAGGAGTTCGAGACAAGCCTGGCCAACATGGTGAAACCCCGTCTCTACTAAAAATACAAAATTAGCTGAACATGGTGGTGGGCACCTGTAATCCCAGCCACTCGGGCAGCTGAGGCAGGAGAATCACTTGAACCCAGGAGGCAGAGGTTGCAGTGAGCCGAGATCGCGCCACTGCACTCCAACCTGGGAGACAGATTGAGACTCCATCTCAAAAAAAAAAAAAATTATGTTCCAAGTAATGTAATCATATTATAGCAGTAGATCTTTCTTTTTAAAATCAATATCCCATTGTCTTAGTAAGAAAATCTCTTTAAAACAAAAGGTGTTACTTTTTTGTTTGCGTTTTCTGTCTCTCTTTAATTCATTAACTATTTAGGAAATAACCATTTTAAATGTTTATCTGTTGGTTTAGAAACTCATTGAAAGTAGAAACCACATATTTTATTGTAATTATTTACAAAATTTAGCAAAGTTTTACATGTACATAGTTACTTTCGTAAAAAGGATTTTTTAAAAACCTAATATTTACTGAAAACTTACCATACGCCAGATGCTCATCCATGTATTTTACACACTTTATCCTTAGTAAACAAGATTAATAACACATAGAGCCTTCATGTGCAGGTTCCACTCATCAATCTTCCATCAGGTACCAGAACCTGTATGTACCTTTCTGCCACATTTTGAGCCAGCCCAGAAGGATCAAAGAGGTCTGACCCATCTCTGTTTGAGGTCTTTGACACCATCTAAATCTTTGATGAGGACTCTATTCTCTAAATATTCTTGAAAATTCTTAAGAGTATATATATATATCTGCAACTAGTACTTATCTGTATGTAGAGGGAGAATGACCGGGTCCTTCTGGAAGTTTCACTTTATACCTATTACCCACCTGATACCCTCTTCCAAGATCATTGGTTGTTGGCTGAATTCAGTAGAACCCTGTCAGTGTCTTTGTGTCACTGAATTCATTGATCACGTGGTCATCAATAGCTGATGTGAAGAAAGCTAGAATACTCTCTGTTTTGCTATTCTGAGACAGTTTCCTACAACGAAGTGGCTTGTGCTCTGAAGAATAAGTCTTTAATGGTACAGATCTTTCAGTTCATAATTACATAGATACATTTGCCCCAAGATGGGATCAAGCATCAAGGAAAATTGGTTTGGGATGAATTTCTTTGCCAGCTGTAGGAAACAATAGCCCTTCTGTTAAACTTTAGGTCTTGGTGCTGAGTCTGTCTTGTGGGTTCAAACAAAACTCTACTAGTCAAATGCAGAAAACAGAACCTGTTGTTGCTATTGAGTGCTTGAAAAAAACTCTAGGCTAGTTTAGGAATGACTACAAAATGCACCACAAACTTGCTGCCATTGGACCTCCAGCCTCTGCCATGGTCTAGAAATTGTAGAATCAGGAATCTTTTGTGCTACGTTTTTTGACTCTAGAATCACTCTGCATTGTGACAATCAAGAAGCTACCAGCCAAACTGCAATGCTGCCTGTATTAGTTTTCTGTTGCTATTTACTATGGTTTGAATGTTTTTAATCTCTTCAAAATTTATATATTGAAACTTTATCCTCAATGTGATGGTATGAGAAGGCTTCTGGGAGGTGATTAACTCATGAAGGCTCTCCCTGCATGAATGGGACTAGTGCCCTTATAAAAGAGACCCCAGAGAGCTAGTTGGCTCCTTCTACCATGTAAGGATGCAGTGAGAAGGTGCCATCCTTTAGGATTCAGGCCCTCACCAAATGTTCCCAGTACCTTGATTTGGATTTACCAGTCTCCAGAACTGTGAGAAATAAATTTCTGTTGTCTATAAGTTACCCAGGCTAAGATATTTTGTTATCGCAGCTTTAGCAGACTAAAACGCTATGTAACAAAGTATCACAAACTTAGTGGCTTAAAACAACACCCATTTGTCAAGTCAAGGCACAGCTCAACTGGGTTCTCTGGTCAGGGTCTCACCAGGCTGAAATCAAGGAGTCATCTGGGACAATAATCTCATCTGTGGCTCGAGGTCCTCTTCCAAGCTCCCTGGCTGTTGGCAGAGTTCAGCTCCTTGCAGTTGTAGGGTTGAGGCTCCTGCTTGATTGCTGGCTGTCAACCTGAGCTGTTCTCAGCTCTAGAGGCTCCCTGCCATTCCCTGCCACAACAAGGCAGTTTGTTCCTTCAAGGTCAGCAGGAGAGTGTCTCTCTGACTTCTTTTAGGGACTCACCTGATTATCATGTCAGGCTTACACAGGATAATATCCATAACTTAAAGGCAACTGAAGAAGGACTTCAATTACTTCTGCAACATGCTTCACAGCAGCACCTAGATTAGTGTCTTATTCAATAACTGGGATACGGTGTGTACACCAGGGAAAGGAGATCTTAGAGGTCATCTTAGAATTCTGCCCACCACTGCATAGCACTAAATAGTATACTGCTATTTCAGATGCAAACTGTAGAACCTCTGTCTCTCTCTGCAATGTTGTATACCAGAAAAGGAGATGCCCCATGCCTTGTCTCTCCACTTACTAAACTTGGTTCACACCTCTAAACCCAACTGCAAGAGAGTGGAGGAAATACAGCTTTTAGCTTTAGGTTAAAAGAACCTTTCTCACCTCTGCAGTAATAAAATTAAGTTGAAATTGATGTGGAGCAAACCAATTCTTGCTATCTACAATATCCTTTATGATCAATTAAAGATGGTTGCAAATTCTTTGCTACTTCTCTCATTAAGAGATGAAGTCTAATTTTACTCCCTTTGAATCTGGGCCGGCTATGGTAACTTGTCTGACAAACAGAATGTGGCAGAAGTGACAGTCTAGGACTTCTGAAGCTAAATCATAAGAAGTTTTGCAGCTTCTGCCCAGGCCCCTAGTTACACTCATTCTTGGAGCCCTGAGCTACCAATTTAAAGTCTGACTACCTTGAAGACCTGTTGCGGGAAGTCAGGGACCCTGAATGGAGGGACCAGCTGGAGCAGTAGCAGAGGAACATGAATTATGAAAATGTCATGGACATTTATCAGTTCCCAAATAATACTTATATAATTTCTTATGCTTGTCTTTACTTTAATCTCTTAATCCTGTTATCTTTGTAAGCTGAGAATGTATGTCACCTCAGGACCACTGTGATAATTGTGTTAATTGTACAAATTGATTGTAAAACGTGTGTTTGAACAATATGAAATCAGTGCACCTTGAAAAAGAACAGAATCTAACAGCGATTTTTAGGGAACAAGGGAAGACAACCATAAGGTCTGACGGCCTGCAGGGTCGGGCAAAAAGAGCCATATTTTTCTTCTTGCAGAGAGCCTATAAATGGACGTGCAAGTAGGAGAGATATTGCTAAATTCTTTTCCTAGCAAGGAATATTAATATTAATACCCTGGGAAAGGAATGCATTCCTGGGGGTAGGTCTATAAACGGCTGCTCTGGGAGTGTCTGTCTTACGCGGTTGAGATAAGGACTGAGATACACCCTGGTCTCCTGCAGTACCCTTAGGCTTATTAGGGTAGGGAAAAACTCCACCCTGGTACATTTGTGGTCAGACCGGTTGTCTGCTCTCAAACCCTGTTTTCTGTTGTTTAAGATGTTTATCATGACAAGAAGTGCGCAGCTGAACATAGACCCTTATCAGTAGTTCTGTTTTGCCTTTTGTCCTTTTCCCTCAGAAGCATGTGATCTTTGTTCTGCTTTTTGCCTTTGAAGCATGTGATCTTTGTACCTACTCCCTGTTTTACACCCCCTCCCCTTTTGAAACCCTTAATAAAACTGTGCTGGTCTGAGACTCAGGCAGGCATCACGGTCCTACTGATATGTGATGTCACCCCTGGCAGCCCAGCTGTAAAATTCCTCTCTTTGTACTCTTTATCTTTATTTCTCAGCCAGCCGACACTTATGGAAAATAGAAAGAACCTATGTTGAAATATTGGGGGCGGGTTCCCCCGATAAGGACCATACTATTAGAAACCTCAATATAGCTCATTTCCTGTTCTAGCACCCAGCCATTCAAGTCATAACAGTTGAGGCCCCAGACATTGCAGGGCAGAGGTGAACCGTCTCCATTGTGCAATGCCTGAATTCCAGATCCACGGATTTATGAGGGAAAAAAAAATGTTGTTTTGAGTAGTTATTTACACAGGGTAGATAACTGGAACAGAATTTGGTGCCAAGAGTGGGGTGCAATCTTAAGAAAATTTAAAACATACGATATTGGTTTGGGGACTAGGTAGCAGGTGGAAACTAGGCCTTAAGAAGACTATTTGTGAAATCTGTAATGGCCTTATGAGTGACGCCTTAGAGGACAGTAAGGAAATCAGAGGCTGGAAGAAAGGGCATTGTCATGTGCGTCTGTGTGAAGAGACCACCAAACAGGCTTTGTGTGAGCAACAGGGCTGTTTATTTCACCTGGGTGCAGGCAGGCTGAGTCCGAAAAGAGAGTCAGCAAAGGGTGGTGGGATTATCATTAGTTCTTATAGGTTTGGGATAAGTACATTCTTAAGGGCGGGGAAGAATATTACAAAGTACCTTCTTAAGCGTGGGGGAGAATATATGTATCAGTTCGGGTGGGACAGGAACAAATCACAATGGTGGAATGTCATCAGTTAAGGCTATTTTCACTTCTTTTGTGGATCTTCAATTGCTTCAGGCCGTCTAGATTTATGTGTGCAGGTCACGGGAGATATGATGGCTTAGCTTGGGCTCAGAGGCCTGACATTCCTGTCTTCTTATATTAATAAGAAAAATAACATAAAATAGTGTTGAAGTGTTGGGGCAGGGAAAATTTTGGGAGGGGTGGTATGGAGAGATAATGGGCGATGTTTCTCAGGGCTGCTTCAAGTGGGATTAGGTGCGGTGTGGGAACCTAGAGTGGGAGAGATTAAGCTGAAGGAAGATTTTGGGTAAGGGGTGATATTGTGGGGTTGTTAGAAGGGGCATTTGACATATAGAATTGTTGGTGATGGCCTGGATGTGGTTTTGCGTGAATTGAGAAACTAAATGAAAGACACAAGGTCTGAATAAGAGAAGGAGAAAAATAGGTATTAAAGGACTAAGAATTGGGAGTACCCAGGACGTCCAATTAGAGAGTGTCCAAGGGGATTCAACGTTATTGTTTGCTTGGTTGGTGAGTTTTGGGGCTCTATCCATGAGTTTTTTTATGTTGTCATATACCAGGCCAGATTGATTTAGGTAAAAACAACACTCTTCATTTAAAAATATACAGAATCCTCCTTTTTCAGCAGTGAGCAAATCGAGGACTCAGCAGTTCTGGAGGACAACTGCAGCTAAAGAGTCAACCTGGGCTTGGAGAACAGATAAAGTTTGTGATATGTCTGTAATGCTAGCAGAAAAGTCATTAGAGAGGCTGTGGAATGTTGTGACAGAGGTTGAGATGCCTGCTATTCCAGTTCCAAGTGCAATAATGGAGGCAGAAAGTCCTAGGCCCACAAGTAAAGGGATTAGTGGGATGACTCTTTTTTGTCATGTTGGTGTCATGAGGGGGACAGGCAGTTGTTCATTCCCATCTGCAAACTGGATTTTCGGGGCAAGGAAGACTACAGTACCTGTGCCCGTCCAGTTGGCAGGTAGGCACATGTAGGCGGAAGAGCCACATAAAAAGAAGAGACCTTGTGTCAGGCAGAACTGGAAATGTAAAGTGAAAAAGTGAGAGGGTGTACTGAAAGAGGAATCCTGCACCCAAAATCCTAGAGATCCAGCAAGGGCAGCAGCCGTTAGAGGTTGTAATGGGGATTGATGGTGCAACTGCGTAGAGGGAGAGGTTCTCTTTCCTTGGTGTATGAGAAAGCGCATAGCATCTACAAGTAAACTTTCACTGTTATTCATGGGGCTGGGTATAAGCAAGAAAGAGGTGGGGCTAGGAGATTCAGATGAGCAGGGTAGCCAAGGATGGAGTGAGATGCAGGGTAGGTGTCTTCCTAAACAATAGTGACTGCCAATGTTTTTTAGTTTGTCAGTAATGATAGAGGGCTTATCAGTAATGGGAAGCTGGAATGCTCCCATCCGTTTGGTAATGTGTGTGGCTGGCTTCTGGAGATAAAGAGTAAAGGAACATTTGGATAGTGGAAGGTTGCCTAAAGGGATTTCAGTAGGCTGTTGTCGGGAGATGCATAAAGGGGAGGCAACAGGGATAGTTGTTTTTGTGGTTAGGGGTACAAATATGGGGGGGTGGAATTGACATAAGGAGAACAGTGCCGTAAGTAGATGCAGATAAGTGTGGCAGCTTTTTGGTGTGAAATGTCTGGGGACTTCTCACCAAATTTGTCTAGAAACTAAAGAAATTCCTCAGGCTGGTAAAGATGAGGGCTATTAAAGGAGGTTCTGAGGTGCAGGGAGATGGGAGAGGTATCCCAGCCAGCCTGTAGAGTGGGGATGGCTGTGTAAGAGCAGGAAGAAAGGGAAACACATAGCCAACAACTCTTTGCTAGAGAGGGATTGGGGGCAGTGAGGAGAGAGTGGGTAAGATTGATAGTATGCTGGAGGTAACTAGGGAGAAGTAGAGAGGGGCATAAGAATGGGAGTGAGAATAAGAGTGAGTATAAAAGTAAAGAATAGAACTTCATCAGGGTGGAAGTATTGGAGAGTGCCCTGTCAGCAAAGATAATCTATCCACTCCAAGAGGGAGTCAAGAGTGGCAGTTTGGGGATAGCACCAGGAGATATCAGCTGTGATGGCTTGGAGAAACAATGTAAACTGGCAGTGTAAACAAGAGCAGGTCATTTATGCGTAGTTGAGAATGGTGAATAGGAGTATGATTAGACAGAATATAGTAGGGATGACAAGTTTTTGGGGCGCAGTCCAAGTGGGGGTGACTGCGTAAAGCCCTGTTCCAAAGAGTAGGGTAAGGATGGATAGACCTAATGGAATGAAGGGATATATTAGGCTCATAAGGGTTATTATTGTTCTTCAGAAATGCGAGTGAGTTTAAGGGAAGTAGAGGAAAGTACTTGTGACTTCCAGGAGGAAGAGCAGATATCAGGCTGGCTGTCCAACAGACACAGCTTTATTCTGGAATGGTGAACCCAATGGGGAGGGTCCTGCAGGGGGACAGCAGTTGGGGTACTATAGATGACTAAGTAGGGTCTGGTCCATCGAGGTTGTAGAGTTTGAGGGGTCAGATTCTTAACAAGAACTGATCGTCCAGCTAGGGTGTCTTCATATTGCTGGGAATCTGGAGTAGGCAAGAGAAGTTTAGCAGCCCGGAAAATTTCCTGTCTAGCCTGCTGGAGGACTGGAAGATAGTCACCTAGAGGGCTAGTGTCTGGGATGAGGTTGGGGCTGAGCAAGAAAGTGCATCCATATAGAAGTTCAAATGGACTGTACCCTGTAGGACCTCAAGGACAGGCTCTAATTCTGAGAAGGGCAAGAGGTAAAAGTACTGTCCAGCCCTTTTTAAGTTGGAGGCTGAGCTTGGTAAGGTGTGTCTTTAAAAGACCATCAGTCCATTCTACCTTTCCTGAAGATTGAGGACGGTAAGGGGTATGAAGTTTCCACTGAATACCAAGAGCCTGAGAAACTGCTTGGGTGATTTGACTAATAAAGGCTGGTCCGTTATTGGACTGTATAGAGGTGGGCAGGCCAAACCGAGGAATTATGTCTGACAGAAGGGAAGAAATGACCGTGGTGGCCTTCTCAGACCCCGTGGGAAAGGCCTCTACCCATCCAGTGACAGTGTCTACCTGGACCAAGAGGTATTTTAGTTTCCTGACCCAGGGCATGTGAGTAAAGCCAATTTGCCAGTCCTGGGCAGGTGAAAATCCCCGAGCTTGATGTGTAGGGAAGGGAGGGGGCCTGAACAATCCCTGAGGAGTAGTAGAATAGCAGATGGAACACTGAGAAGTGATCTCCTTGAGGATAGATTTCCATGATGGAAAGGAAATGAGAGGTTCTAAGAGGCAGGCTAGCAGCTTGTAACCTACATGGAAGAGGTTATGAAATGACGATAGAATGGAATGGGCCTGTGAGGCTGGAAGGAGATATTTTCCTTGGTCCAAGAACCATTTGCCTTGTGTGGGAAGAGATTGATAGGTGGAAGTTTCAGTGGGAGAGTAGGTGGGAGTGACCAATGAGAAGGAGAAAAACTGGCCATGAGGGACAGAAGCTGGAATGCTAGCTGCTTCTTTAGCTACCTTATCAGCATAAGCGTTGCCCTGAGCAATGGGATCTGATGCCTTTTGGTGGCCCTTGCAGTGAATGACTCCAGCTTCCTTTGGAAGTAAAGCAGCCTTGAGAAGAGTTTTTATTAAAGAGGCATTAATGATGGAGGACCCTTGTGTAGTGAGGAAACCTCTTTCAGCCCATATAACAGCATGGTGGTGCAGGATATGGAAGGCATATTTAGAGTCAGTATAAATATTGATGCATAATTCCTTTGCAAGAGTGAGGGTTCGTGTTAAGGCAATGAGTTCAGCTTTCTGAGAGGTAGCGGAGTCGGGCAGAGTGGTAGCCTCAATGATAGATGTGGAAGATACTATAGCACAGCCTGCCTTTGCTGGTGTGTGGCAATTAGGCCTGGTGGAACTACCATCAATAAACCAGGTGTGATCAGGGTGAGGAACAGGAAAGAAGGAAATATGGGGAAATGGAGTGAATGCCAGGTGTATCAGAGAGATACAATCATGGGGGTCAGGTGTGGTATCAGGAATAATGTGGGAGGCCGGATTGAATTCCGGGTCAGGAACAATGGTAACTGTGGGAGACTCAACAAAGGGTGAGTCAGCTGAAAGAGCCAGGGAGCAGAAAGTATATGTGTCAGGTGTGAGGAAGAAAATAGATTTTGGAAGTTATGAGAACTGTAGAGAGTGAGTTGAGCTTAGTTTTTGATTTTAAGGGCCTCTAAAAGTATTAGGGTGGCGGTGGCCACCCCACAGAGACATGATGGCCAGCCTAAAACATTAAGGTCAAGTTGTTTGGACAGAAAGGCTACAGGGTGCAGTCCTGGCTCTTGAGTAAGAATTTTGACCACACAGCCCTGTACTTTGGCTGTGTGTAATGAAAAGGGTTGGGATGAGTTAGGGAGAGTTAGTGTGGGAGCAGCTTCTAGGGCTGTTTTTAAGGAATGGAAAGAGGAGTGGGGAAAGGATTTAGGATCTATGGGGTCAGCTAGGTTTCCTTTTGTAAGTTTATATACAGTTTTGTTAGGATGGCAAAACCAGGTATCCAAAGGAGAAAGTACCCAACCATGCCCAGGAAGAGAAGGAGTTGTTGTTTTGTAGAAGGGGTTGGGGTTTCAGAGATCAGTTGGACACGATCAGCAGGGAGAGCACATTTGTTTTCATGAAGAATTATGCTGATATAGGTAATGGATGAGGAAGAAATTTGGGCTTGACTGAAGTAATGGGGGGTGTCCATGAAGCCTTGAGGCAGTACAGCCCAGGCAAGCTGCTGGGACTGATGGGTGTCAGGGTCAGTCCAGGTAAAAGCAAAGAGAGGTTGGGACAAGGGGTGTGGGGGAATAGTGAAAAAAGCATCTTTAAGACCAAGAATGGAATAGTGAGTTGTGGAGGAAGGTATTGAGTAGAAAAGAGTATATGGGTTGGGCACCACAGGGTGGATAGGAAAAACAATTTGGTTGATAAGGCACAGATCCTGAACTAACATGTAAGACTTGTCCGGTTTTTGAACAGGTAAAATGGGAGAACTGTAAGGAGATTTTATAGGTTTTAGAAGCCCATGCTGTAGCAGGCGAGTGATAACAGGCTTTTTGTGGGATGGGATACTGACGTTGATCAGGGTAAGGGTGATTAGGTTTTAATGGGATAGTAATGGGCGTGTGATCAGTTGCCAGAGAGGGAGTGGAGGTGTCCCATACTTGTGGGTTAAGGTCAGGGGATACGAGAGGAAGATGCAAAGAAGGCTTTGGGTTGGGAAGAAGGGTGGCAATGAGATGTGGCTGTAGTCCAGGAATAATCAGGGAAGCAGATAATTTGGTTAAAATGTCTCGGCCTAATAAGGGAACTGGGCAGGTGGGGATAACTAAAAACGAGTGCATAAAAGAATGTTGTCCAAGTTGGCACCGGAGTCGGGGAGTTTTAAGGGGTTTTGAAGCTTGGCTGTCAATACTCACAGCAGTTATGGGGGCAAGGGAAACGGGCCCTTGAAAAGAAGGTAATGTGGAGTGGGTAGCCCCCGTATTGATTAAACAGTGTATGGACTTACCCTCCACTGTAAGAGTTACCCAAAGCTCGGTGTCTGTGATGGTCCAGGGGACTTCTGAGGCGATTGGGCAGCGTCAGTCTTCAGCTGTTAAGCCGAGGAGATCTGGGAAGGAGTCGGCCAATGAACACTGGATTGGGGCTCCAGGGGCTTTAGGAGCAGTGGCGATGTGAGTCAGACAGTCCAACCTCCAGTGGAGGCCCACACAGACAGGGCACAGCTTAGGAGGAATCCTGTGCTGCGGGCATTCTTTGGCCCTAGAAGCAAGATTCTGATGGAGGAGGTTCTGAAAGAATGCTTGACTGCTGCAGCTTAGGCATTTTGAAGTTCTTGTGTGCTGGAGATGTGGCTGGGGTTTGTGTCACAGTGGAGGCAAGGAATTGCAACTCAGAAATACATTGCTACTTGGCTGCCTCTACTCTATTATTGTACACCTTGAGTCGAGGTTAATTAAGTCCTGTTGTGGGGTTTGAGGGTGGAATCTAATTTTTGGAGCTTTTTTTTTAATGTCGGGAGTGGATTGGGTAATAAAATGCATATGGAGAATAAGACAACCTTCTGGCCCCTCTGGGTCTAGGGTGGTAAAGCATCTAAGGGTTGTTGCCAAACGGGCCATGAAATGGGCTGGGTTTTTATATTTAATGAAAAAGAGCCTAAATGCTAACTGATTTGGAAGAGGTCAGCTAAAGAAAAAGGAGCATTAACCTTGACTATGCCTTTAGCTCCAGCCACCTCTTTAAGAGGAAATTGTTGGGCAGGTGGGGGAGGGCTAGTCATGGAACAAAACAGTATGCCAGACCGGGTGTGAGGAGGGGAGGTGATAGAAGGATTATAGGGTGGGGGAGCAGAGGCTGAGGAAAAATTGGGACCTGGCTCGGCCTGGCGAGGAGCAGCCTAGGGAGGAGGGGAGAGGTCAGATGGGTTCATAGAAAAGGAGGATTCAAAGGACTCAGAGCTTGGGGTGGAGACTGAAGGAACAGACAGGAAAGAAAGAAGAAAGATTTGGGATGAGTTGCATTGGGAGCAAAGATTAGGAAGGGACCGATGTGTAAAACAATGCCTGGACATCAGGCACCTCAGACCGTTTGCCCATTTTTTTGACAAAAATTATCTAGGTCTTGTAGAATAGACAAATTGAAAGTGCCATTCTGTGGCCACTCGGAACTACTGTCGAGTTTGTACTGGGGCCAAGCAGTATTGCAGAAGAAAATAACGCATTTAGGTTTTAGGTCAGGTGTGAGTTGAAGAGGTTTTGAAGGAGGAATGGAGGGTGGAAGGTTGCCCATAGTGAAGGAGGCAAGCTTAAAGAGAAGGGTAGAGACACGGAGAAGCGGGGTGGGGAGCAGCCCTGGGCTGCAATGTGGGTGAGTAGCCAAAGAAGGTGTCCCAACAATTGACTTGCCACCAGGGGAATGTGGGTGAATGACCAAGGCAGGCATCCCTGCGGTGATCAGACACCAATGGAATGTGTGTGAATAATCAGGCAGGCATCCCCGCAGTGATTAAACACCAAGGGAAGACTGCCTTCCCGAGTCTGTGACCAGTGCCAGAGTTTTAGGTCCACGGATAAAATGTGTCTCCTTTGTCTCTACTACAGAGGAAAAATAACTGGAATTGGAAGGACAGGGAGATTGAAGGGTAGTGAGAGAGGCTGGAGAAGAGAGTGAAAAGACCGCTTACCCGATTAGAAATTGGTGAGATGTTCCTTGGGCTGGTTGGTCTGAGGACCCAAGGTCATAGGTGGATGTCTTCACGGAGTGAGGGTGAGGACCGGGGACATGACTCCCGAAGGAGTCCCTCTGACCCAGGTCTTCGGCACCAAATGTCACGCGCGTCCGTGTGAAGAGACCACCAAACAGGCTTTGTGTGAGCAATAAGGCTATTTATTTCACCTGGGTGCAGGCAGGCTGAGTCCGAAAAGAGAGTCAGCAAAGGGTGGTGGGATTATCATTAGTTCTTATAGGTTTGGGATAAGTACATTCTTAAGGGCGGGGAAGAATATTACAAAGTACCTTCTTAAGGGCGGAGGGGTGGAGAATATTACAAAGTACCTCCTTAAGGGTGGGGGAGAATATATGTATCAGTTAGGGTGGGACACGAACAAATCACAATGGTGGAATGTCATCAGTTAAGGCTGTTTTCACGTCTTTTATGGATCTTCCATTGCTTCAGGCCATCTGGATGTACATGTGCAGGTCACAGGGGATATGATGGCTTAGCTTGGGCTCAGAGGCCTGACAGCCATGTGAGATATGTCCCAGCAGAACAGTTAGCCAAACTGTTGCTTGGAGTAATGAGGTAAAGAAAGATCTTGAGGATCTTGCTAAACAGATTTTCAGGCAGAATGCTGAAAGTGCTACTTGGCTTTTTCTAATAATTTTATTATTTATACAGTAAAATATGAGAAGTGAGGAAAAAATTAAAGATGGAACTGTTCACTTTTTGAGAATTTATAGGGTATATTAAGAAGGAAGAACTTGTTCATTTTAAAATAAAAGTCACCAGCCCCATCTCTTTCAGAAAAATACTATCAAAGTAGGAAATGGCTTCAGAGCAAAGGAACTATTGATATAGGTCTGGTTGGGTTTCATAAATATTACAGACTAGTGGCTGCTATGAACCTTTGATTCTGTCCTCCCCTTTTTTGAATGGCTGTGTTGATTGCAGTTACCCTATCCCCGTGTCACTACTGGCTATTGGGTTTATAGACAAGGAAGATAACTTGCGTCTTCATTTCATGGTCTTCAGATCAAGAGGAATTCTCCTCCCAAAGTGCTGGGATTACAGGCATGAGCCACTGAGCTCGGCCAACATAACAGTTTTTAGACCTCCAGGGCCACACATTCATTCAAAGCCTGAAGATGTTTGAGAGTTAGATTCTGCACCTTAAATTTCTACGTGACATCAGTATTTGGCCACAAGCATAGGCTATTTCAGAAGAAACATGTAGAGTGGCATTTTCAGAGGGAGGAACCAGGAAGGCTATTTCTGCAATGTTGAGAAAAACTGATACATATATCCAGTCTTGAGTTACTCAGTGGGCCATAGGGGTAAATCTAATTGGTATTTGGGGTGCCTTAGAATGCATCTGTGAGGATAAGGCCTGAAAAATATGTATTTGTACTATGCTTCCCTCCCCAGATAATTCCTAAACATTTCAAAGTTTGAGAACCACCAATATGAGAACAGGGAAGCATGAGTCCTTTTCCTTTCTCTCCATTCACCCCCTAACCTCCCAAATGCTATTTGCGACATTTCACTCTGTTTCTGTCAACAACAAAATCAAATTCAAAGACAGAATCAGAAATAGCTTTATTGGGAACAAAGCATGTGTATAGTGACAATGAGAAGGCAATGATGACTATCCACTAATGGGTTTCAAGAAAAAGACTAAAATCCCTGTTTTATCCAAATGATAGTTTTGTCTTTTCTGTACCTCAAGACCTAGGTACATTTCTCTCATTTCTATTGCACCTGGCATTACTTTAGTTAGTATTTTATTTTCATACCATGAACTCCCATTTGACATCTTGAAATATATCTCTGTGATTCATGTATTATTTCACCCAAAGGTTTTTATGAAATATGCATTTTTCACTTAATATTAATATTGCTGCATCCAGAGCTCCTCCAATCAATCCAATTTGGCAGGAATTTTATTTCAATACTACCATATGGAGCAATTTCCCCTTCAAGACATTTCACTCTGTGGCTGTCAAAGAAAGACCCATTTAGAACGAAATCAAAATCAAGAGGGAATCAGCAATAACTTTACTGGGAAAAAAGTGATTGTGTTTGTAGTGGGAACGAGAAGGCCAGATGGCCATCCATTCATGGATTCCAAGAAAAAAGACTAAAATCTTTGAATAACATGAATAATCAAGTCCATTTTCACCTTTTAAGATTTCCTATGGACTACTGATAATTTATACACTGTGAAAGAAAGTTTCTTAACTAGAAAATGTTCCCAATAACAAAATAGAGTCAAGGAAAGTTCAATGACAACAGAAGACCATTTGACTTTGAAGAATAGGTTAATGTTTAAAGCTAGGAGGGAAGGCCAGGAGTGGTGGATCACGCCTGTAATCCCAGCACTTTGGGAGGCTGAGGTGGGTGGATCACCTGAGGTCAGGAGTTCGAGACCAGCCTGGGCAACATGGCAAAACCCTGTCTCCACTAAAAATACAAAAATTAGCCAGGCGTGGTGGCCCACGCCTGTAATCCCAGCTACTTGGGAGGCTGAGGCAAAAGAATCGCTTGAACCCAGGAGGCAGAGGTAGCAGTGAGCCGAGATTGTGGCGCTGCACTCCAGCCTTGGCGAAAGAATGAGACTCTATCTCAAAAACGAAAAACAAACAAACAAACAAAACCCAAGATAAAGCTAGGAGGGGAGGCTGAGGATGCCTCAAGTGATATAAATAAGAAAAAATTCTTCTGTCATTTTTTTCTTTAAAATCATACTTAAACTATTTTCTTAAAAAAATGTATCTATGAACCTTTCTATGATTATATTTGCAAATGCAGTATTCAAAATGTTGTGTTTCCTTCCTTCTGTAATTGGGGTAGACTGACACTGGATGGCGGTGAAGCCCTGATAATAGCCACATGGTGCCAGCTGAAGGCTCATTCTAGGCACGTTTATTTGACATGCAATTGTGCAATTTTTTCTTTCAATATCTATTTTAAAAGTTGAACCTGTGTTACTGACATGATTTAAAATGTTATACCTGTACAGTAAGCATGTAAAGAGACATCTAAGTAAAACCTGCTAATTTATCACTAATACATAACTCAAATGACCTTTGAGTGGGAAGTTTTTTAGTGACTCACTCTCCTTCTCTTACATTGAAATCAAAAGCCCAATTCAGGCTGAGTACAGTGCTCCAGAATATCTGCAAGCTGCCGGGGCATTTACCTCTCTATGCTCATTTTTCTTCTATAGCCAGTGTGCCATGCACTCTTAGCAAATGAGATTATTCTCTTCCAGTTGATCCCAACCCATGAGATTAAATGATTATGACTGACTTTATATGTATATAATTTTTTTTTGCCCTTCCCCCATAAATGGCGGGGGGTGGGGAGGGGGTGGGTAGTGCTGTGACAAGAATGTATATACTCAGTAATTGATAGTTTATTTATAGTTAGAAGGTTTCAAAAGAAACATCTTTCCATATCTATGGAATATTCCTGATACAATTGGGTGTCTCAAATATAGCAGGGAAGATTATATATTAAATATTTCTCAGGGGGTTTCGTTGTTTGTTTGTTTTTTTGAGACAGGATCTCACTGTGTCACCCAGGCTGGAGTATAGTGGTGTGATCCAGGATCACTGCAGGCTCAACTTCCTGGGCTCCAGTGATCCTCCCATCTCAGCCTCCTGAGTAGCTGGGACTACAGGCATGCACCATCATGCCCGGCTAATTTTTGTATTTTTGGTAGAGATGGGGTTTTCCCATGTTTCCCAGGTTGGTCTTGAACTCCTAAGTTCAAGTGATCTGCCTGCCTCGGCCTCCCAAAGTGCTGGGATTACAGGTATGAGCTACCGCACATGGCCTAGGGGTTTTCTTAGAAGTCTGTGTCAATTCTGGTCTCCTTTGGATACAGGGTTTAGCAAAAGAGATCCTTAGGACCAACTTTTAAAAGACAACTTGAAATAATTAAGCATACAATTAGATTGTCATATGCTCTTGGGTTATATTCACAAAAAATATATAGGAGTTAATTTTCTTCACAGAAATGTGCTAGTGGGAAAATAAGAATCAGGCATGCTAATAATTAATGATACCAACGGTCTCATAATGTTTTATAAGATTGTTGTCAGGTGTTGAAGAGCTTGGGAAATTAGTCTATCTCTTGCGAGCCAAATTTAATTCTCCTTGATAGTGATAATCTAATCGTTGTAGTTTACATTCAGAGTAGACAATGCATTCAACTACATGTATAAATAATCTGTGATAAAGGGCTGATAATTAGAATTGCATATAGATTCAAACAGTACTTGCAATGATGATGGTTTTGTTGAAAATATTTAAAAAACTCTTTTGGAATTGAAAGCTTCCATGCATTCTCAATATCTCAATCATGGCACCTTAAAAATGGGTTTGATCATCAGAAATATAAAAATATCCTTTGGAATCTAGACTTATAAATAAGATACAGATTAAAACTAAGTAATAGCAACAGGACTATGGCAGATTTCATTTCTCTAAGACGGCCACCACCTTATATCACATCTATATTCCCTCTACTTGTGCTTAGGCAGATCTTTGTGACTGTGTCAATCAACCAAGAATGGAGGAAGTGTCACTTTGAGACTTACGAGGCTGGGTCATACAGATGCCACACACTTCTGTCTTATTCTCTTGGGATGCTTGTTCCTGAAATCCAGCCACTGTGCTGCAAGGAAACTAACCAGGAGAGTTCATGCCTCGGTGTCCCAGATGACAACCTTTGTTGACCCCAGACAGGTAAGTGAGCCTTCAGATGACTTCAAAGCCTACCTGTGGAGTCATTTCCAGCCTGTGAATTATTTCAGTTGATGCTGCATTGAGCAGAGATGAAGTGTCTCTGTCAAGCTCTGCCTAACTGCAGATTTGTGAGTAAAATAAATGACTGTTGGTTTGTTAAGCCACTAAGTGTGGGGTGATTTGCCACTCAGAAATAGACAACTGGAACAGATTTTGGTACCTGGAGATGGGATGCTGCCAAAACAAAAACCTAAAACATGTGGCATTGGCTTTGGGACTGGATAGTAGGCAAAGCTGGAAGGGCCTTGAGGAGATAAAGTATTAGCAGGGGCTTAAAGGACCTTGAGGAGGCTGTCAGTGAGGACCGAAGAGAAAGTAAGGAAAATGTTATTGGAAGCTGCAGGGAAAAAGACCTTCATTTTATAGTGGTGGAGAATTGTCCCTAAAGTCACCTGCAGTAATATGGAAAATAGGAAATGTCCCGAATGCAGACAATAATCTAGTTAAGAAGATTTGTAGGTAGAATATTGAAAATGTCACCTGACTTCTCACTGGCAATGCATTAGAAAAGAGATAAGAGAAAGGACAGTTAAATATAAGGAGCCAGGACTTGCTGGGTACGAAAATTACATGTTTTCTCATTTCCCGCCTCTCCAGATGGTAAATGATGCTTGAATTAAGAAATGGCTTACAGCCAATCAATAATGCTGCAGAAATATGTCTACATATAAAGCCAAGGGCATGACTGGAAATCCTTTTGTTAAGAACTCAGAAAGACTTCAAGTGGTGTTAAAAAAATGTTTTTTTTGAGATAGGGTCTCACTCGGTTGCCCAGGCTGGAGTGCAGTGGTACAACCATGGTTCACTGTAGCCTCGGCCTCCCAGGCTCAAGGAAGTAGCTGAGACTATAGGCACATGTCACCAGGACCAGCTAATTAATTTTTTTTTTTTTTTTTTTGGTAGAGATGGGGTCTCACTGTTGCCAAGGCTGGTCTTGAACTCCTGGGCTCAAGCCATCCTCCTGTCTTGGTCTCCCAAAGTACTGGGATTACAGGCATGAGCCACTGTACCTGGCCATAAGGTGGTATTTTATATGCCTTTTCAGATAGACAGAAGTTCTTCTAAGGATCTTAAGGAAATGCCTCACAGATCTTCCCTGCTAAACAATGGTGCATCTAAAGATCTCGAAAGAGTTGTCCCATAGCAGTCTCATAGATATCTCTAGGTAGAGTAGGACTTCTCTTAAAGAGATTTGTGGATATGGCTTTTCTCTAATAGGGTGGATTGGAAATTAATACACACAAAGCTCACAAGGTTTAAAGAAAAGAAAAAGTAGATTGCCTGGACTGAAATGAACAAAGACAGTACAAAAATAAAAGAGTTCATTGGATCCCCAAACTTCTGCAGCAGAGAGTAGTCTGATAAAATGCATTAGTTGCAAACATGAGCTACGTTTTATCAAAAGGAAGAAATCCCAAGGAGTGGACATCTTTTTGAGCAGGAGGGTTTACAGTGGTTATCCTCTGCCTGTTCTCCTGTTGTCTGTTGGGTGTGTGTCACGCATGTAACTTCTCTCTGGTTCACAACTCTTCAGAATGCTACTGAAGGAACTGAATGCAGGAGCTGCTCCCACGGAGTCTCATCCATACTCAGACCTAAATGACATGAGGAGATCCTGGACTGTGTGTTATTACCATAATGGTAAGAGACTTAGGGCTCTTGGAAGAGAGAGTTGAGTGTATTTTGTATGTGGGAGAGATGTGAACTCTTGTGGCCAGAAGGGAGACTATGGCAGACAGCATTATCCAAAGATGGCCACAATGTGTTATCCCGTGTGTTCTTAGAATGTGACATTGACACCTCTCTCACAGAGTCGTGGAGTCTCTGCTCTACTCCTCTGAACCTGGATAGAACTCTGTGACTGTGTTGGCCAACAGAGTATGAAGAAAGTAATGCTTTGTGACTTCTGAAGATAGGTCATAAAAATGCCACCTACAATTGCCTTGCTCTCTTGAGATCTTATTCTTGGGGCCCAGCTTCCAGACTGTGAGGAATCCAAGCAGCCATGTGCATAGGCTCCAGCTAAGGTTCCAGCTGACAGCCAGCATCAACCACCAGGTACATGAGTGAGTCTTTGGATGATTCCTGCCTCTGACCATCAAGTCACCTTCAGCCTTTGTGCCACCCTGGGGATGCCATGCAGAACAGAGAAAAGCTGCCCCTGCTATGCCATACACAAAGTGCTGATTCATGAGCGAGATATATGATTGTCACTTTTCCAAAGCCACTTAGTTTGGGATGCTTTGTGGTGCAGCAATAGAAAACTGGCACAAGGAGAATGGAAAACAAATTGTGATATACACATACAATGAAACTCAGTCATATAAAGGAATGAAGTATTGGTAAATGCAACAACATGGATGAATCTAAAGATCCTATGCTTAGCAAAAGAAGCTGGGAACAAAGAGTACATATGGTATGTTTCCATTTATTTGAAGTTCTAGAATAAGCAAAGTTAATCTAAATGAATACATGGACCCATGATTGCCTTGGGTGCAAATGACTAAAAAATAATGTAAGGAAACATTCTTGGTAGATGAAAATGGTCTATAATAGAGGTGTGGCTCACAAAGGTGCATCTGTTTGTCAATATTGTGCAGGTAACATTTGTGCATTTCAATATAAGGTATATAAAAGTATATTAAAAAATTTACCTTAAAACTTTTTAAAAGTAATAAAAATTAAGTGGGGATGGAGAGTACATGAAGCTATAGATCATACAAGAATGACAAAATGTTAGTTAACTACTCAAGTTCGGTGAGTAGTACATGAAAGTTCATTATTCTATTCTGTTTATGTTGTAGATGTTTTAAATTTCCCATAATAAAAAGTTTAAAAAGAAAAAAGTACTGATTTTTGTCAAAAGTGAGTTTTGACTATAAATCATTGGGATGTTTTTCTTACATGACTGCTAGATGGGCTCTGAAAATAATACCAAAATAATATGTTTCCAAAATGTTTTGAATTAGGCAGTATTGTTTAAATAGATGAATAGCATACCATGTTTTAAGACCACCAAAGTACAACACTCAATGCAACGTATAAATATTTGTTTCTAAAATCAGTTTTATTGTTTGATATGGTTCAAGCTTTTACTTTAAGCAGCGCATAAATTTTTCTTTCTTTCTTTTTTTTTTTTTTTTTTTTTTTGAGACGGAGTCTCACTCTGTCACCCAGGCTGCAGTGCAGTGGCGTGATCTCGGCTCACTGCAAGCCCCGCCTCCCGGGTTCCTGCCATTCTCCTGCCTCAGCCTCCCGAGTAGCTGGGACTACAGGCACCCGCCACCATGCCCGGCTAATTTTTTGTATTTTTAGTAGAGCTGGGGTTTCACTGTGTTAGCCAGGATGGTCTTGATCTCCTGACCTTGTGATCCACCTGCCTTGGCCTCCCAAAGTGCTGGGATTACAGGTGTGAGCCACTGTGCCGGACCAAATTTTTCATTATTTATTTAGTAGTTACTGTCCATCCAACATTCGTGAAACATCAGTGGTAGAAACTAGTTACAAAAACAAAAACAAACAAAAAACAAAGAAAGAAAAAGAACTAGTTCCCAATAATGATTAAATTGCTGTTTCATAATGATTAAACAGCAACTAGAGTAAGCATAACATTCATTATGGTGGCTCTTTACATTCTATTTATTTATTTATTTGAAATCTCTTCTAATTATTTTGTAACAGTCATTGTTAATGAGTGGTAGGAGTGTTGGAGTCTGCTATGCCATCTTCTCATTGGGTTTAGTATGACCTGAAATGATTTTTTAAATGTTCATCTACGTAACATATATTAGTTAAACTATATGCCATCAGCATATAACAAATCCCATTTATCTAGACTCCAACCGATTTGAAATTTGATAAACTCTAAATCCATACCTTTCATTCAGGTTTTTCTTCTGAGCTTTGGACCTGCATATGCAATGACCTATTAGAAATCTTTGGGATATCACCACAGGGAAACCGAATCAGTATCTCTTCCTTCAGAGAAACTCACCCTATTCTTCCTCTCTTAGTAGACAGCAACGTCCTCTATGCCACTGGCCAAGCCAGAAACAGCATCTTCCTAGACATCTCCCTCTCTCTAATCCTCCACAACTAGTCAGTCATCAAGGCCTGTTTAGTCTTCTTGAGTATTTTTTTTTTTTTTCTGAGATAGAATCTTGTTCTGTGGCACAGGCTGGAGTGCAATGGCTCGATCTCAGCTCACTGCAGCCTCTGCCTCCTGGGTTCAAGCAATTCTCCTGCCTTGGCCTCCTGAGTAGCTGGGACTACAGGCGTGAGCCACCACGCCTGGCTAATCTTTGTATTTTTAGTAGAGACAGGGTTTCACTATGTTGGCCAAGCTGGTCTCGAACTCCTGACCTCAAGTGATCTGCCTGCCTTGGCCTTCCCTAAGTGCTGGGATTACAGGCATAAGCCACCGCGCCCAGCCTCCTTGAGTATTTTTTCTTTCTCCTTTTCTACATTCCCTCTGCGACTACCTTAGTTTGAGCCCTCAAACATTTCTCACCTAGATGACTGCAATGGCCTCTTTATAGGCCATCTGCTTCCAGTTTTTCTTTTGCTGCAACCTATCTTCGAAATTGCTGCAAGAATGGTCTTAATAAAATTAAAATCTCATCATGTTACTGTCTGGCTTAAAACTCTTCAGGGGTTCTCTGTTGTCTACTGATAAATGTGAGATTCTTTGCAAGGCAAACAAAGTCCCCTCTGCTCTGTTCTCTGCCTGTGTCTACAGCATTATCTTTCACCCTACTGTCCTCACATACTATGCTCCAGCCATGACTAATGACTTGCAGTACTCATCAAGAAGCACTCGGCCTTGTATCTCCATTCCTGCGTTCATGTGCTATTTCCCTCATCCCAGTTCCCTAGAAAATATGTACAGTACTCCTTTTTCTACACTGTATTCAGGTATTAAATTCTTGTTGAATCCTTTTTGATGCAACCCCTACCCCAAGAAGAACCAACCCCATGACATTTGTGAGCCCTTGGACCATTTGCGAACTTATATCATTGAATATTTACAATTTTTTTGGCCTTGTTTTGTTTTCAGGTCTGTCTTCCTCTACCAGATCACATGCTTCATTTGGGAAAAAACTGTATCTCATTTGTATTTATAGCCCTAAGCCAAATACAGTCTCTAACACATAGTAGGCATTGAAAACTATTTGCTAAGTAAATTCAAGCCCGAGCAACAGTGGTTTTGTTTAATATTTTACTCTTACAGAAGAGGCAAATTTTTAAAAATCACAAAACTGATAGTATAAATGTTTAAAATCCTCTGAAAAGTATGAAGATTTCTACAAAGATTTTACTCACACACAAACACAATTTAATTTGAAATCCAATTACCTGTAAGCTTGAAAAAAATTGACATTCATAATAAAGATTATAGGATACTGTTTCTGACTCATTTAAAAAATATCTTCACTGAAGTTTAACATATTTTTTCTTGCTTTCAAAATCTCTGGATATCTATGTGCATGGATGGTATGCAACATATGGTAACATCCTATAAAGACTGAAACTATCTTGGGTAAACAAAAATCATCTGTATTGTACAGTTTAAGAGCTACTGTAGCAAAATATTACCCAGTGGTTAGAAATAATTATCAAAGTAATACAGGATGAATAAGTTTTGTTTGACAGTTTATAAATAATTAAAATAGAATCTTTATACTTGCTTTGTGACTAAAAAATAAAAAATAAGTAAGATAAGTGGTATAAAATGTAAAGCCATATTGTAAGCCCTTGTTGTGTTTGAACCCTTGATAAATAAGTGAATAGAGGCTCAGATTTCATGGATTAAGGGATGTCAAGCTAGTTAGAAAGGATCTAGAGAATAGGAAATCTGGAAAATAAAATTTATTAAAGGTATTAATATTATTTAGAAAAAAGATGGTTGATTTAATAATGCCCCCCAAGCATATGAAGTGACTGTTTATGCCAAAGATAATGAGTGTCCTTTCATTAATCATGAAAAGATGAAAATAAAATTACATGAACACTTATTAAGTGTTGGATAACTTGCCTCGGTCAACCCATTTAAAACTCATAACTCCATGCTGAGCAGAGTAATATTTCCAGATGGGAAAATAGGTTTGTAAACCAAAAACATCAGAGAAATCCCAGTTAAGGGACAGTCTACAAAATACCTGTCCAGTCCTCCTCAAAACTGTCAAGGTCGTCAAAAACAAGGAGTGTTTGAGAAACTGTCATAGGCACAAGAAGCCTAAGGAGACATATAAATAAACGCAGTGTGAGATCCTAAACAGGATCCTGGAACAGCAATAGGGCATTAGATAGGCAAGGAGAGGTGACTAAGAAAATCTGATTAAACCAGGGATTTCATTTAATTATAATGAAGCAAATTGGATATTAGTTGTAAAAAATGTACCAGTGTAAGATGTTATTAATAGGGGGATCTGGGTGCATGGTGTATGGGAACTCTCTGTAGTATCATCTGAATTTTTCTGTAAATCTACAACTGTTCTAAAATGAAGTTTATTGAAAAAAAAAGCTTGGTGTCAGCTTAGTATTGTTTCCCTATTAACAGTTATAGCAATGTCAGAAATAGAGGTTTTTTAAAAAATCAATTAATGAGCCAGAAATCACAGAGGAAATGGGGTTTCATAAATCAACTTCTTTTTGTTGAACAAGTATTCTTTTCATCTCAGGTATTATTGAATATATTTCTCAAGTGTATTTGTATATTTTTATTGCTTTGGAAAATAATGCACATTAAATATAATCTAACCATTCTTGGCTGATTCTATTCAATTAAAACAAATAGCTGCCTAAAAAGACACCCCCCAAAAAAAACTCTCAAGCCCCCTCAAACTTCCCAATGTCCCAAACTCCATCAGAAATAAAGATTCATTAATACTCATTCATTTTATGCCCTAGATACTGTTCAGGCATGGGGCACACAGTTGTGAAAAGTTTCTGCCATTGGGGAACGTATATTCTAATGAGAGGATGTCAGCTCTTGATTCCTGTGACTTGGTCATTCCAGTGCTTTGCATGACTCCTCACTGAATTGGTCATCAATTCTCAGAACGCTTCCTTTTCAATGTCTCTCTCACTCATCTCATTAAAGAAAAAAAATTCTCTATTCACATGATCTAGGTTACTAGTATTACCTTATATCTAATCACTTATGATTTTAAACATCTGGTTTTAAAAAAATAGCTTCCGGCCAGGCGCGGTGGCTCACACCCATAATCTTAGCACTTTGGGAAGCCGAGGCAGGTGGATCACCTGAGGTCAGGAGTTTGAGACCAGCCTGGCCAACGTGCTGAAACCCCGTCTCTACTAAAAATACAAAAATTAGCCAGGCGTGGTGGCGGGCACCTGTCATCTCAGCTACTTGGGAGGCTCAGGCAGGAGAATCACTTGAACCCACGAGGCAGAGGTTGCATTGAGCTGAGATTGTGCCACTGCACTCCAGCCCGGCGACAGAGTGAGACCCCATCTTAAAAAAAAAAAAAGCTTCCAATGGATCTCTTTCTGATTCTTACCCCTATTAAACTGGCCTTCTTAAAATTACTCTTCTACTCTAAACCTTATGGGGTTAACTATTCAAGTCTCTAGTCTGGATTCAAGGGATTTGACAATCTGGTTTTCATTTGCCCCTCATGACATTTCTGGTGTCCTTGCCTTAACTCTGGTCACTGCTTGGGTTCTTTCTCTCTTCACCCTACAAATGTGTTCCTCCAACATTCTTATTGCTTCAGTTATGTCTGTAGGTTTGATGCTCAGGTTTTAGTTGTTCCTCTGGCTTTCTACCTATCACTTCATTTCATCCCTTGGGTCACAGTTAAACTCATTTCTTGTAGTTTGATGAAGTTGGAGAGTTAGGCATTTTGAATCTCTCCAAAAGCCTTACAATCCATTCCTAAAATAACTCCTTCCAGTACTGCTGGCAGGCAGTGTTCTGGAGACTTATCTTACTCTTTGATTTTTGCCCCCAACAATTAGGTGTTAGACCTTGCCTTTCCAAATATTGTTTGGAACTTCTGTTTTTTTGCTACAGTGCTATCTAGCATTTTCCTCAGTTACTATGAGTTTACTTATCAGTGTATGCTAGTGCTGCAGGGATAAAATAGACCCCAAATGAATAACAGCTCAAATACACAGTGGAAGTTTTTCTTTCTCATGTAACACTCTGAAGATATTACTGGTTGATGGGTGATGACCTCCAAGCAGTGAATCAAGGACCCAGGCTCCTTTCATCTGTGGCTTCACCATCCCTTAGTATATTAGCCATCTTCTGTAACCAGCTAATGCATGGGGAGAGAGACCATGGAGGCACTGGGCCTAGAAATGGTACATACCACTTCCACTCACATTCCAGTTGGCTAGGACTCAGTCCCATAACCACAGATACTTGCAAGAGAGGCTGGGAAATGTAGTCTAGCATGCGTCCAGGAAGAGAACAAAGGTTTAGTTAAATAGCTTACTTTCTCCCTAAAGAAGACCACCTAAAGTCCCATCCAGTTATTGCAGTCTTCTCCAAGTCCTCTATCTCTGGTGATACACTCTCCTTTCCATCAAGTCCAATGACCTGGGAATTTAAAGATATCTGCCCCTCCAACTTCCACTAAATACATAATGCAGAGCAGGAAGAAGATAACTGCCATTAAAAATTCCCATTTGAAAAAGGGACGAATGAGAAACATAGCAGTCATTGATTCACAGCAGTGAAACCCCGGCCCCCAATTCTCTCAGCAGAGGCAGTTTTTAAATGTTTATTTCTGTTTCCTGTTTTTTTTAGAGACAGGGTCTTGCTCTGCCAACCAGGCCAGAGCGCAAGAGTGCAGTGATATGAGCATAGCTCACTGCAGCTTCGAACTCCTGGGTTCAAATGATCCTCCCACCTCAACCTCCTGAGTAGCTGGGACTATAGGCGTGTGCCACCACGCCCGACTTATTTATTTATTGGTAGAGATTGGGTCTCCCTTTGTTGGCCAGGCTAGTCTCTAACTCCTGGCATCCCTCTGCCCCACCCTCCCAAAGTGTTGGGATTATAGGCGTGAGCTGCCACGCCTGGCCTAGGGGCAGTTTTTTGTTTGGCTCCATCTATTTTCTAAGAGGAACTCTGTTATTCATTATTCTCAGTGATCCCCTGCTCTGACTTCTGAGGAGTCCGAAGACTGTTACATGCTATGGTTTCATTTGAAGCAGATATTGAGAACTGTTTCCTTCTTGGAGGCCACACAACTTTCATAGCTTGCTTCATGAGGATGAAAGTTGGCCTGGAGTTCCTCTGAAACAGGAGGGAACACTAAAACAATTCTGATATTTGCCATGAGGTTGAGTCCCTGTGTTTGGTTGAGCAGTCTCAATGGGCTTTTCTTATTCAACACTTTTTTCAATTTTCTATCTTAATACTTGGGAATCCAGAAGCAGCAGACTTTTCCAACCCCAAGGCAGTTAATCTCAGGGCTCTTTTCCATTCCCTTCAATCTCTCCGTGAGAGCCACAGAACTCCTGCCTGAGTTTACTGCTTTCTCATAATACATTTTAGCAAGGAAAATCTCAAATGCACCGCTACTCTGGCTCTTTCCATCCATTTCCCCTGAACTACACTTTCGGTAGTTGCACTGACCACCTTCAATATACAGGCAACTGGTTATCCGTGCTTTGCCACTGCAAAATACGGCTACAGGTTTCCAGGCTGCTATATCTATTTCCTCACCACTGGCTGCCTGCCTGCTAAGTTAATGTAGAATATTTCAGGTTTTCATTCTCACAGAACTCCACTGGAAGGTATCAATAGTTTTTTAGTTTCGGTTGTTTATAGTAACAAATGTACTCCAAAATAAGTAATGGCTCAAAAATAATAGAAGTTTTTTTTTCCTTATTATGCTGTCATTCCAAGGTATACATACCTGGTTGTCTGTTTTCTGTGAGGTGACTCAGTGACCCAGAATCTCTCCAACTTGGGGCTTTGCCATTCCTGAAAGCTTTCAGTTTTCTCTGTGTCCAGCCAGTGGAAAGTGAAAGAATGCACGGAAAAGGCATATTTGATTCCTTTTTTTTTTTTTTTTTTTTTTTGAGACAGGAACGCCCTTTGTTGCCTAGGCTGGAGTGCAATGGCACAATCTCGGCTCATTGCAACCTCCACATCCTGGGTTCAAATGATCCTCCTGCCTCAGCCTCCCACGTAACTGGGGCTACAGGTATATGCCACCATGCCTGGCCATATTTGATTCTTAAAAAGCCTCCTGGGCTGGGCGTGGTGGCTCACACCTGTAATCCCAACACTTTGGGAGGCCAACGCAGGTGGACGGTTTGAGCCCCTGAGGTCAGGACCAGCCTGGGCACCATAGTGAGACCCTGTCTCTACAAAAAATAAAAATATTAGCCGAGTGTGGTGGCATGCACCTGTAGTCCCAGCTACTGGGGAGGTTGAGGTGGGACGATTGCTTGAGTTTGGGACATCAAAGCTGTAGTGAGCTGTGATTGTGCCACTGCACCCCAGCCTGGGCAAAAGAGCAAGACTCTGTCTCAAAAAATAAAACCTCCTAGAAATTGGACATCATCTCTGGTTGTATTCAGTTGGCTAGAACTCAGTCACATGGCCATGCCTAATCTCAAGGCAAGACATTAGAAATAGTAAGCTAGCCATATGAACAAGAAAGAGAAATACATGGGTTCTGGTGAAGAATTGGCAGTTGCTACCACATATTAAAAGTATTCTTTGGAAGGTTTTCCTTTAGATATATTTTCTTTATGCTGAGTAGATGTTTTCATTTTTTCTCTTACTAATCAATATAAGTTTATGAGATCCTCACATAATTTGCCCCATTTATTTGGCACTTAATTTCATAAAAATATGTAGTGTATTTTTATAATTCATTGTAAATTACTAATAAAATATCCCATATATACCTTTACTGAGACCATTTATTTTAAAATTGGGAATGACTTTATTTTCAAATGGGAAATATCATGAAATATTTTGATAATCTATGGAAAGAAAAAGTTGGCTTAAATATTATTTTGCATATTGGAGATCAAAGGAGTTACAATCAATTTGCAATTAAAATATAATGGTTGGTGAGGTTTTGGTTTAAAAAAGAGAAAAACAAACAAAAAACATACCTTAAATATAGTAACCTGTTATAATGAATAACTACTAAATCCATTTATAACAATAGAAAATGATAATTTCATGATTTATTAGCAAGAATGCAGATGTGCCAATTTTTTTGCTGGAATTTCACTTTATATTAATTGTAATTCTCTGAAAGACCCAAATGAAAATAAAGTTTTTCAAAGTATTAAATAATAAATTGTCCCTAAGTAAGACATTTCTTACAATTCAGAAAACAAATTTTGTCAACACTCAAGCAAATCTGTTACTTTTGGCTTTTTTAACCTTAAATGTCTTTTTTTTTTTTTTTTTTTTTGAGACAGAGTCTTGCTTTGTCACCCAGGCTGCAGTGCAGTGGCGCGATCTTGGCTCACTGCAACCTCCGCCTGCCAGGTTCAAGCGATTCTCCTGCCTCAGCCTCCAGAGTAGCTGGGACTACAAGCATGCACCACCACGCCCGATGAATTTTTTGTGTTTATTTAGTAGAGATGGGGCTTCACCATGTTGGCCAGGCTGATCTTGAACTCCTGACCTTGTGATCTGCCCGTCTCAGCCTCCCAAAGTGCTGGGATTACAGGCATGAGCCACTGTGCCCAGCCTAAATGTCTTAATAATAGAAGCTCAAAATGTTTGAGAGCGGGGGAATAATTCAGCAGTGAGTACTGGGAAAGGATACAAATTCCTTAAATTGTAGACTGGAGATTACATTATGAACCCATTTATTCTGAGCAGAAGAAGTGTTTCATGTTTTCATTATATTTCAGTAGAGACAACTTTACAAAAAGGAAAAAAAAAAACCCAGACCAATTGGGCACTGGCATTCCCCTCTTTAAAAATGTTAACTAAAAAAGGCTCTGGATAATTTATGGAACTAAGGATTCAAAGACAATCAGAGATTAGATGATGCAGCAACTTTAATTTCTTTCAGTTTTAGAGCACCAAACGTTTAAATTCTTTTTCATATGCAAAATAGTACTTGTTAAGTCTGTTGTTATAAATCTTTGTTGCTGGAAGTAAAATGGACAAGGTAATGAAATATGAAAAATATCTAAACTCCAGGTCTTAGGGAAACAATACAACTAGCTAATGAAAAAGAATTAAAAATCAACAAACTACTATTGGCAAAGAGAAAATTATTTTGTTAAACAGGATAGCAATACTGATATGAATGACAACAAATTCACATTAAGTGAAAGAACAAACTAGGTAACAGTTCATATTCCAGCTGAAGATACTGAGATCATTTTAAAGCTATTTAGTTTAATTTGTGATTTATATGAACTTTAAAGGAGAATATTTTTAAATGTTTGCATTTGTAAGTCTATTTTCTTTGGAAGCCAGATTTGACTTACAATTAAAGAAAATAATATGACCCAAACCTTTTGAGAGTAATATTTTATAGCACATTTAGATGAGATTCCTTTCAAACCCAAGATCTAAATAACATGTACATATATCCATTTGATATTTCCTTATGTAATTGACATTATTTTATTTTGTGTAACAGTCATATTAACATTTATTTGTCAATGACAAGAATTAGGACTGATGTTTATGTATCATCATCAATGAAGTCAGATGTTTACCCATTCCATGTGAGTACTAAAACGTAAACAGATTTTTTACATAAAGGTGAAGAAAAATAACTTTTAACCCACACAAAATTTATTCTCTGGAAAATTAAACTGCCATTAAAATCTCATCGGAATAATAATTTTAACTTTTTTTACACTGTTTTCACAGAGGTCAGCAATTTCTGTATGTAATACAATTATACAAAAGGAAAAAGGCACCGAGACAATCGGTGTATACATAGTAGAAAAGTCGACATGAGAATAAAATGCAACACACAGCACATTTTCAATTATATGAAAACGATTACATATATGCTCACTCTATAAAACAGACTGCTTCACACACGCATGTTTATATTTTTGACCAAAAATGTAAATAAATGTGACAATAATACAACACTGTTGATAACCACACAGACATGTGTTTATACTAATAAGATCCATTAATGGTTTAGTCACTAGCAAATATGCTGGAGACAATTCAAGACCAAGGAAAAGGTTAATCAGCAGTGTATTTCTTCAGTTGTTTGATAAGAGTTTTGCTCACGGAGCATTTAAACTTTATCACACTGTTATATCCATTATTAGAAAAATAAGTAAGAAAGCTCTGTAGAAACTATATTATTAAGGAAGCTTCTTGCCTGAAAAAATGAAAGAACTAGGAAGGAAGGAGGGAGGGAAGGAAGAAAGGAAAGAAAGAAGGAAGGAAGAAAGAAGAGTAAGGGAATATTGAATAAAAGATTCCACTAATTGAGCTTTTCCATAAAAATTTCATTATTTTGAGAAATAAAATACAATGCAAGAGTATTGATCAGTGAGGAACCTCATGAGTTTTAGAGTAGGTCCCAACATTTATCAAGACCCTTAAAACTCATATAATAACTATTCTTCCTCAAGGCTAATTTAACTGAAAACATATTTATACACTTTCTTATTTCAAAATTCTAGTAAAAATCTAGCCAAAGGCTGGCCATCTCTTCCAAACAGCTTTAAAGATTCCTCAAAATCGTTGCCACTATATTATATTCACCACAAAAAAGCAATTTCAATAAAATTATACAGAAACATAATAAATCAATTAATTTTATAACGCAAGCTACTACTGGAATTTTTCTCTTGATAAACTTAAAGTAATATTTATAACATCAAAATGCTGTTAGAAGTATCACCATTAATTTCTAGCTCTGCTTCAAACAACTGTTTAAATATGCTTCAATATTAAGAGAGTCGATGTATGTGCAACAGCTACTCTGGTCTCCCCTCACACAACAAATGTCACATAATTACAGAATACTATAAATATTCTCAATATTTATCCAAAAAGACTTCCCAAAACCAAAACAAGCACGATTTCTCCCTTTTCCTCCTCCCCACTCCCCACACTACAAAAAAAAAAAAAAAAAAAAAAAAAAAAAACACCAAAAACATAAAAACCAAAAAAGCCCCCAAACTTCTTATGACTGTATGGTATGTACTTCAGTTTTCTGGGTTTTGAAATCACCTGGTTACAGCAACATGTGAAATTTTAAAAACCAGGTTTTTAAAAGAAGGCTTCCTGTAAAATTTAAAATAAAAAGAATGTGCAAGCTAGAGGGAGAAGGGAGGACACCAAAAGGAGAGAATATGACATAATGATCTCAAATCTTCACTTCCAAGAAGCTGGCTTCTACTCCATTAGAATTGCAATGACATTTGGGTACTGAAGCGGCCGTCCTATTTCAGGGTTCTGGGATACTGATCCTTTATGGGCCTTTTCTCCTATTGGTGCTTATGGATTACTTCCATCAACACTAATGGGGGTTAAGGACAGGAATCACTAGGAGGACCAACCCCTGAGGAATAAATGGTTTGATTGTTACTGAAAATTAAACCGTCAGAAGGAGGTTGGCACACTCAGAAACTGACGAGTGAAGTGACGTTACGAGGTTCAAAACCATCCACCTTCAACCAGATGTGAATGGCAAAGAGAAGCAGTAAGTCTCAGAGATAAGGAAAAATTCCTATTTTCTCATTAAACAAAATAGTCATATTTAATATGAACTGCTAGCAATATCTGAATATATAGACAAAGTTTGAAAATTTTTTTCAGTATATAACGGAGTATTATATTTTATCTATTAATTCATTTTAAACACATCGTCAGGTGAGAGATCACATGTTAATGTAATAAACAGAAAGATGTTATGGTTTTTCTTTTTAAAATAGTCTTCAATATTTAAAAGACAAACTCAAATGTCTAACAGTACAAACTGGATTTACTGATAATCAGAATAATAAAGAAGAGGGTGAAGAAGGGTCCTAATAAGACAATTTATAACACAGACTATCAAACTGACATAGAAATAATGTCAAACATCTTGTACAACTATTGCCACCACAGTGACTTTGTTCTTATAATTAATTAGAAATTTTCATGTCATAAACAGTTGAAATTTTACAATAAAATTATGCCAAACCTTTGTTAGACGAATAATCAGTTTCCTTCCTGCTCCCAGCCCACACAACATAATTTTAGGATACTTCACACTATTCAAGGTAAGTACACAACCACCACCACCACCACCACCACCACCGAAACAGCAACAACAAACATGCTATGATTAAAGAGTATTACGCTTTGCTCTTTCTGTAGTCCCCAAGAAAGCCTATTTGGTCCTCCCTATGGTCCAGTACAGGTGATTAAGAGAAAAAAGTCAGGGTATCACTTTTTGATAGGTATTATTCAGCTTTGATGAACTAACTCTGGTATCTAGTTTGAGTGTATATGAATAAGAGTGGGGAAAAAAGGCAGGGAAGAAGAAAGGGAGTATTTTTAAAAAGGCACATACTAGTCTAAACAGGGAGAGAAAAGAGCAATATTTTTACATTCATTTTTTGATAATAAACTAGTAATTCCAGTCTATCAAGCTGATTACCTTAAGATTATATTAACCAGACCTCAAGCTGTCACCAAATCAAACACAGTGATACATCAGCAGTCACAAAACAGCTTAATTCAATGACAACATTATTTCACATATTCAAATAAGCTCATTTTTAAGTGGGATAACCACATATCTTTGTGGGGGAAAAGAAAACTTCAAAATGTAAAATGTGTTAATACAAAATATTACATCAGAGAAGAAAATATGGCTATATGTGAAATGAGGGGAAATGGAAACTCAGATGTACCTTATCCACAGCATTTATTCTGAGAGAAAGAGAAGGTCCTGAGGCTGCTGTATTAACTTGCTATTTGAAACAAAGGATCCTAAGAACAAAACAATCAAGGAACTAGAGTTTAGAGCAGCAGTCACAGAATCACTGCTTTTAGAGAAGAATCCAGTACTGCATTTCATCTGATGAGTGTGATGACAATGAAGCCATTTAGATGATGATAAAGGGAAGCAAGAAATCTTACTGTATGCAAGAATGCAAACATGCCAGCACCTATGGCTGCTACTACACATTTGCTCAAAGGTCAGTCTTATTTCATTTAGGATACTGATAAAGAAATTACTTGATAAATACCTCCCCATTCTTCACTTTATATCCATCATTGTAAAGATAACTTAGAAGGAAATATTTGAACAGTGATAGAAAGGAATTTTTGGAAGCCATAAAATCAACATATTTATTATACCAAGAAACACTTTGAAAAATGTATGTTGAATGTGAATGTACAGAAATTCATTATTAAATATTAATTTTTTTCATTAAATATCTTCCTTTTTAAGGAAGCACAAGAAAAAGATGAATAACATTAATCCTAGTCTTAATCTCTGTATTACTATCACTATCACACTTAAAGGTCTGATCTACAGGCACTGAAACATTTCATGAATACTACTATGTAATACACTTAATATTCTATATCAATAGATCTCAGACAGAATTTCCTGGAGAGCTTAATAAAATGTAGATTATTGGGCTCCCTTCCAGGCCAAATGAAGTAGAATCTCTGGAGGTGGAGTTTTGGAATACAAGTTAAATTTCCCTCCCTTCTTTCCCTTCTCCTTCATTCTTTCCCGTCTCCTCCTTCCTTCCCTTCTCCTCCTCCCTTCCTCTCTCTCTCCCTCCTTTCTTCCTCCCTTTCTACAAGGTCTTCTGTGTCACCCAGGCTGAAGTGCAGTGGCGCTATCTTGGCTCACTGCAGCCTTGACTTGCCAGGCTCCAGCGATTCTCCCACCTAAGCCTCCTGAGTAGCTGGGACCACAGGCATGCACCACCGTGCTCAGCTAATTTTTAAATTTTTGGTAGAGATGGGGTTTTGCTATGTTGCCCAGGCTGGTCTTAAACTCCTGAGCTCAAGTAATCTGCCTACCTCAGCCTCCCAAAGTGTTGGGATTACAGGCGTAAGCCACCACGCCTGGCCCAAGTTAAATTTTCAAAATAATTCTTAAGGATACTACAGTTTAGAAACCATTATTTTACATTTTGTTCTTGGAAAGAACGTGTGTCCTCAAGTTTGATGGGAGTCTAACATGTATTTGTTCTTTAAGACCCAACTCAGGGATTATCTTTTCCAGGAAGATTTTTTTGAATTCCATGTTGCACTCTTCTACTAAATCCCACGGTACTCTATGCATGCCCCTATCTTAATGCTTCATTATACTAGCCTGAAATTATCCCATTCTGTGGCCATCTTCCTACCTTAGAATGTAGGCCCCATGAGGGCAAAGACTTCGACCAATTTATTATCTCTGCATCTGTAGCACTTGGAACAACAACACATGGCACATATCTAGTACTCTTAAATATATATTAACTGAAGGAATAAATAAATCCATACATAACACAAGATTCATAAAAACTAAGACTCATGTAATAGTGTGACTGGCTTCTTCCACAGGGAATTTAGTTCAATTCAATATTTACTGTCTGCCTACTATAAGCAAAGGGGTACAGAAAGATACTAACAAGGCATTGACTACTTACCTAGGGGGAAGAGAGACATATGTAATAAACTAGCTGTAATTCCTGACAAATCTTAATAAAATTGAGAATAAAACATAAATAAATTGCAATGAGAGGACAGAGGAAGACAAATCTTTTGTCTCACCACTGATATGAGTGAGATATGGGCTAGACACAGGTTATGCCCTTCATAGAGTAGTAAGGGGGTCATGTAACAATTAAAACACCTTGGATTCCTAAAAGTGGTCAAGGAGCAGAACTGATTAATATGCTTTTGGAATATAAGTATAGGCTAAACTGGTAGAATAAATCAATTCCAAATCTTTGCAAATCAAAGTCATCTACAAAATGACACAAAAGTACCACCACTTGTGTCCTGAGAAGAAAAAAAATTTCTGATCTTCTTTTCTAGTCTTTTCTCTTTCCCCAGCTGTTTTTTCCCCCTTAGTTCTGCCATTCAATCAAGGTGAGTGGGATTATTGATAAATATAATGTCCTAAGTAGTTTTTTTTTCAAACAGGGAGGCAAATGCAACATGCATAGCATGGGTTTTAGAGTAATTTACACCTGGGTTCCAATCCCAGTTCTACTACTTACTTACCGAATGACCTTGGGAAAGTCTGCTTAACCTCTTCATGCTGCAGTTTCTTTATCAATAAAATGTTGATAACATTACTTACCTCACAGTATTGTTTTGAGAATCAAGCAAGTAATAAATTATTGTGCTAGATCTTAGTAAATTATAGCTGTTAACCATCACTTTGGAGGGCAGAGACAATGTTTTAAAATTAACGTTAGAAAATGCTTTGCAGCATGCTTAAACTTGTATTCAATATTAAATATGGTTGACAATAATAATACTGACAGCTACCTTCAATGTAGGCCACAGAGGAACTGAGGACAGTGAATGGAAACAAAATTAGAAATAAAAACTATCAATGTGAAATAATATAGTGATAACTCAAATAACTATATATATAATAACTGTCTTTGTGAAAAATCTGTGAATTGTCTAGTCTATGTAGGCAAATGGCAATTTTACGCAAATGAATTTGTGTCCTTTCTATTCATAGCTGGAGAGGGATCTTGAAAAATACTTGGTGGTGACCACTGTTCTTACTCCATCAAAAATTTACATCTTCCCATAGCCTATTTTTTCTTTCACTGGAAAGACTATGATATCATTCAGTATCCCCACACATCTTCATATTGACAAACACTCTCAATTCTTTTACCTCTTTCTCCTATTGGTACTATCTTACTTTGCAGTTATTGATTATGCTTCTGATTCACTTGATAAGTGAAATGAAAATGATGATGGTATCAAGCAAATGATTTAACAAACAGCCCTGGGCATTTTCGCTAGGTTGGATGAAACTGCTTTACCAGGTCCTACATTTAAACATGTGTATATTAATCAGGTAGTTATTTTCTCATTGGGTTTTCTTTTTTTTTAATTGTGGTCCAATTTATTATTCTTGTCAGCAAATACAACATTATTGAGAATTCACTAAATGCACAGTAAGATAATATGCAAATGGATTTCAAACAAAAGTGGATTGTACTGAAGACACAAGAATATAGAAGAAAGCTTCTGAAAGATAAGGCAATATTATGCTAAACAAATTCTTTACTGATTTGACATACATTTTGTTTACTGGGCAGCAATAATTATCTTTTGCAGCTCATTTGGGAGAAAAATAAACCCCATAATTCCAGGTTTAGAGGCTCCCATAAATGCCAGTCGATTGCCATATTTGGACTATATCATTTTATTAGAAAACTTAGGGGATTTTAATAGAACTGTATGAAAGTGGGTTGTCTTTTTCAGGTTTCTGAGCCAACACCTGCTCCCTACCAGTAGGTCCCTATTTGCTATAATTACTGAGATAGAAGATTTTGCTATTAAGCTTTCATGCAAATTCAAGCACACAAAGAAGCAGTAGTACTGTCTCGTACATTAGATTCAGTAGAGTGAAGTGGGTCCCCTGAGCCTTATTTAATCCTTTTCTAAAAGAACAGACAACTTTTTGGGAGTAATTATTATAAGTTGTGTCAATCTACAGAAACAAATGTATATTTTGCTGTGTGTGAAGGAGAACAGCAGCAGAAAGCAACCCAAACCAAATATAATATCTAGTAAATACATAGAGGAGAAAAATAATCCTAAATGTATGAAATGTTTTTCTATTCAGTTATCTGAAAAAGCCAGGGCACCTTTGCCTTTACAAATGAATATACATATACATATTTATGTTGTATGTGTAATGGTGCATGTGTGTATACAGATACATACACTCATATAGATAATTTATAATCTTTGAGGACTTGGCAGCTGGGGTGGAGGTAGGGTCTTTCCAGAAATATTAAAAAACTGTTTATTAATTTTTAAGCCATGAAGGATTTGATACTTATGCCAGATAAATCCCTAGGGATGTATCAAATCACACACACAATTCTGGGAATAGTCTGAAAAAAGGTAGATTTAACAAATAACAATTAGTTAGGTCTTTTTCTCACTAAGAGTGAAAGCACCAAGCTGGTCTTACTAATGTGTTTCACTAAGCTCTGTTACAGTTACAGATAAGACTGATAACTCTTTTTATTAGGAAGATAACAGTTGTTAGCAATGCAGTCAGTTGTTTCAAAGTCTAAAAAGTTCATTATAGCTTCAAATGCCTAAGTCCAATTTCTCAGTAAAATCTACATCCCCTCTTCAAGTCTTTTTTCATACTGTTGCTGAAAACACTTAAATGAGATATTTTGCCATTTGATTCAGGTTCTAACTCTTACTTGTTTATTTGAAAAATCCTGGAAAAAGCTCATTGATGTAACAATAAAAGATGGATTTTTCCCTTTAATGCAGCCCTGTAACACACATTCTCAAACCTCATGTCATCCAATATAGCATTTGTATTTTTTCTTATAATTCATGTGTATGAATGCATAGAGCTGCCATTTTTTAAACTAAAAAAATACAGAAGTTCACGGTCTTTTTGGGTTTCTTTTAAGGCCTTTCAGTACAGCCAAGCTGAAGTAATATCTACGCATTGTTTTGTTATTATGGTAATAACAAGTTCTAGTTTACAATAATATATAGTACTTAGTTGGGACTAGAAGCAATGATATACTGCTTTTTAGTAACTGGTAAATAGTATGTTTTTGTCTATTTTAACTAGAAATGAGAAGGAGAAAAAAGAAACTATTTTTAATATATATAAAACATACTCTGATAAAGTATATGCATAAAATGATATATTAGGTAAGAAGCAAAATTAAAAAGAAAACAGCTTATAATATTCCTGATTAGAGTTCCTAAATATAAAAACAAATGAAAGTGCCTTGCCATTAAAAAGTTAGCACATTATACAACTTTTACATACTTCAGAGGAAATAAAGATCTTGCGACACTGTTCTGAGGAATCTTTACATTTATAAAAATCGAAGGCTTAATTTTGCAAATACAACGTTCAAGCTGTATGAGCAAATTTAACTTACATGAAAGGCACAAGATGACATCACGTTGAAGAACTTTATCTGTTAATTTCATAAAGTCTAGTTACAAGTTACTAGAAACTTCATAAGGAATCTCATAACTGTTTTTAACATGATGTTCCAATTCAAACTGAGAACTGGATAGTCTTCATATCACAAATATAAATTGAAGTAAGAGTGAAGATTTAGAGAGAGAACAGTTTCTTATTTTGAATGCTACCTGCTTTACGCAGTGTTGGTTACTAAATACTCAGAGCAGAAAATTAAAATTGAATTGTTTTCCATTTTCGACAGCTTATCTACTGTATTTTCAGTTTGTAAAAAATGTATTTTCACACTACTGCAATTTTGAAGAGTCAATCACTGAAAGAAATTTGAAAGTAAAGTCCTGCTCTATTAGCTTCCTACATTGGAATACAAGAATACAGGAAGTGCTTTCAACAGAAAGTTACGTAGTTCTACAGTACAACCTGTCTAGAAGACTTGCAAGGGACCAGTACAGTGACTTGGTCTCTTTGGATCAGGCGAAAGCGGAGGCAAATGAAAAATGAACTTTTAAAAAAATAACATATTAAAAAAATTCCTGTATGAAAATGAATACTTGTTTGCACTTAGATTTAGTGCTTTTGAGAGGAACTGAGGCACAATGAACCTAAGTGCACAAAGGGAACATGCCTGAAATAAAACAATTTTCAATGTGACTGAAACCCTTCACCATTAGATATGACTTATGATAGAGTTGGAGAACTACTTTTTCATATTAAAGAACATTACAAACACCAGGGACTGGCCAGTCAAACTATGTTTTATAAATAATATGTAGGGTGATATTAAAATTGTATTGCAACTAAAATTCTGGTTTTTAAAATCACTTATAATTTTGATTTTTCATAAAATGACTGGCTCTTTTGCTAAATTAAAATTAACTTCAAATCAAAAACATCTTATTAAATTTCTGGAGGACTGTTAGTTTAGCAATGATAGTGTACGTTTCTCAGTTTCCTAAACAAGCTCTACTAGATACACATATTTTCTTCATTTATGTCAGTATGAGACGTTCTTTCCATAGAACTTAAAGCATTTTGGTAGAAGGTTGAATATGATTCTTCAAAGAACAGCTCTTCTAATGGGACTTGGTAGAAACAGTAATGTTGGAATTGGAAATATGCTGCCTTTGATGGTAACTGCTTGCTTATTCTATTCATCATGACTCTAGCAACGCATGCCATCTACATACTTGCTGTCCTTTTGACTCTTTCATTTCAGTCCAGTGATTGAGTTCTTCTTCTCCAGAGCTGTTGAGACCTAAAGAAATCCAGCCTATCATCTCTTTTCTTTTCATGCTGCGTTTGTTATACACAGACAGTATGAGTGTCACATCAGAAAGCTGAAATAGGGCCACTTGAAAGACAAAAGTTTCCTTATATACTGGATTTGGCTGCCCTCTGCGGATGGATGTCTTGCATTTGGACATCTCTTGACCCATGGAATTCAGTAGAGTTAACTTAACATATGTATCTAAAGAAGAAAAAGACAACGTATCACAAATATCATTTGAAACAAACTCAAAACAATTTTTTATAGGCTAAGAAAATTAAGTATTTATACTTTATAAGGATATGGTGTATACCATGTTTAATGGACATTCGACCAATTCCATTTTGATGTAGATGCTTATAATATGTGACAAATACAGAGAATCCTAAATAGGCCAAAAATATTTTGGTAGTAATAATATCTTAACCTTACTATTTCTATGTAATAGTTAGAATTTAAAGGTATACCTCATAATCCTTCCTTCACCCTCCCACCCCATCCTTGACCTCCCACTACCCTCCCCTGCCCGTTCCCATTCCCATTTAGCTTCACTAAGCAGGACATCATAGCATTAATAAACACTTAGCAAGCTCAATTAGCCACAACACTGTAAAGCATTCCACTGTTTTCAGAGAATAAGAATAAACAAACAAATAGAAATGAAGGCAAATGGTGAAGAGAAAAGAGGAAGACAAGAATGCAAAGATGACATCAAAACAGCTTAGGATGAAATGTCAAAAAAAATCTCTGCATGGATGTGGTTTTTAAATATACTTTAAAAACATTTAAGGGCAAAAATGAAGCCAAATGCATTAAAGGTTCAAAGTTTAGCAAACCAAGTAAAACTTTCTCCTGGTTTCATGCAAGAGTACATTTAATGTGCTTTCAGGATAGTTAAAATACTATAGGATTGTTTTTTGGCACAAATTTAATGTAAAATTTTAAGAATGATATCTGAACTATTTTTATGAATTACAAAAAAATTGATGTGATGTTTAGTGTACGAAGTGAAACATAACAGTTCATTGCCTGATTATTTGGGAGACAAATCCTTTCTTTATAAGACTGTTTTCAAGTTTTTTAGACTCATGCAAATGATCTTCAGCATGTTGATCCATCATGTGTACTTCATATCAAAATTTCAATTAATTTTAAAGAAAATTGCAATATTTATCAGGAAATATCTATTTCTGTTGTATGAATCAAAGTACAAATGAATGAAAAAATAAAAATTTTTATTTTAAAAAGTTTTGCTTATTTCATATATGCTCTGAATACCATCATCCATAATCAGAGATAAATTCTAAGTTAGTTTTATTTAAAGTACCACAGATAATAAATGTGCATTGTTTTGGAAACCAACATGGTGGACAGCTTCACTGCTGGCAAGTTTTAGGGTATTTTGGTTTTGCATGAAAAGACAACATCCAATTAGCCTCTACAGGAACTCACCTCGGATTATATAAACCTGTCCACCTATCAAGTGTTTTAGACAACAGAACAGTCCATCTGACAACAGGGGGTGGAAAGCAGTAAAAGAAATAATGACCAGATGTCAATCGTTGGGTGAAAGAGGGTCAAAGGTTAGAATTAAAGAGGAAACACTGTTCACTGGAGTGGAAGAACACAAAACTTTAGCATTTTAATTCAGATAGAGGATTGAACAAAAAGGATGTTGGGTAAATTTAATGGGATGAGAATTTTTAAGGTTATTGTGTAATCTTAAACAAAAATTACATTTTTTTAAAGGGGGACATCTTTTTAATGATATCTTCTTGGTCTAAAGCACATTGAACATAGAATCATGCATATTATCAGACTATAAAAGACTGAATAATTATAAAGATCATCAGAATTATTATTATGCTTACTATTATTGCTAAATTTAAAATGTATCAATTTAATATTTCAAATACTTTTATTATTCCCAATATATACAAATTAATTATGCAAAACAAAATAGGACTATTGAACTTTTTGCTCTTGAATATTGCTCTTTCTTTGGAAAAATGGGGATTATTCAGTCTATAACATAGTTCAAAGCTTAGAACCTAGGTATATATGAGGGGCTATAATCTTATATAATATATACTATTTAGGACAAACTGATAAAACTGTTTTACCTTTTACTTTATAAATATTTCACTTTCATAAAATTAAATTGACTTATACTTACTTTCTAGTTACCTCCCACCTAACACCATGAATTATCCTTATACTGAAGATCTATCTAATGGTAAAATAATGGCAATTGCTATACCTATTCTGTAACCTGAAACATCGACTCTGTGTTGCGGATGTGAATCTTTTGTCATCTGTTTATTATCCAACCCTGCGCTTGGCCAGACCTCCCTTTTAGTTGTGATCCTTGTTGCTCTGTTTCTATCAGAGTGACTACAGTAAGGATAGAAAGGCAAACATATCATTTCATTCTATTTTTTAGCATCTCCAGCTAAATATTTGTCAAAAAAATGTAGTAAATTATTAGCTAAAGCATGAGTGGCAAACTGATAACTGGGGGCTCAATGTGACCCTAAACAATGTTCTATTTATCCAACACAGTGCTAACAATCTGTGAATCTGAAAGTCTTCTGGCAGGGTGTGCACTCTTATGTTTGTCACAGGCCTCACCATCTCCCCAACTTTCACCTATGAGTTTTACTCATTTCAGTTATCCCCCAGGCCTTTTGAGTTTGCATTCTAAGTCTATACTAATGAAGATGATCAAGTCACACTACCAAATCTGTTTATTCTAGAAATTGCTTCTTTTCTCCCACTCAATTTCTCCTTCTGAAATGAGAAAGGGAACAATAATAATTCCATCCTTCTTTTATGCACCTTTATCTGATTTGAGTCTCACACTTGCCCTGTGAGAGACATGACCTTAATTTTACCTATAAAGAAACAGACTTAGGGGAGTGAGGTCAACTGTCCAAGGGTAGAAATATGAATTTAAGCCTTCAGACTTTTAAGTCAGGGATAGACACCTTCTGTGATACATGTAAGAAGCAAGCTTTCCAATGTTATTTGGGGCAAACCCAATATATTATAGTAACTTTTTACTTCCATTGAATAAATAATTTTTACGACAACTAGAAAGAGTTAAATTCAAGGATAAAAAAGTTACCCCTCCTTTATTTTTTAATTTTAATTAATAAATATTATTATTTATTTTTATTTTTATTTTTTTAGATGGAGCCTTGCTCTGCCACCAGGCTGGAGTGCAGTGGCGCAATCTCAGCTCACTGCAACCTCCGCCACCTGGGTTCAAGTGATTCTCTTGCCTCAGCCTCCCAAGTAGCTGGGATTACAGGCACGCGCCACCATGCCCAGTTAATTTTTTGTATTTTAGTAGAGATGGGGTTTCACCATGTTGGCCAAGATGGTCTCGATCTCCTGACCTCGTGATCCACCCGCCTCGGCCTCCTAAAGTGCTGGGATTACAGGCCCTTGTGAGCCACTGCACCTGGCCAATTTTTTTTTTTTTTAAGACAGGGTCTTGCTCTGTCACCCAGGCTGGAGTGCGGTGGTGCAATCTTGGCTCCCTGCAGCCTTGATCTCCCTGGCTCAAGCGATCCTTCCACCTCACCCTCCTGAGTAGCTGGCACTACAGTCTCAAGCCACCATGCCTGACTAATTTTTAAATTTTTTGTAGAGTCAGGGTCTCACTTTGTTGCCCAGGCTGGTCTTGAAATCCTGGGATCAAGTGATCCTCCCGCCTCAGCCTCCTAAAGTGCTGGAATTACAGGCATGAGGTACTGCGCCTGGACCCCCTCCTATAATAATTACTTGCTTCTTGGAATAAAACATGGCATTAAGTAAGTCTGTGAGAATTCTTTAAGAAAATTTAAAGTGGCATTATTATTTCAGATTTCGTTTCAAATTTTTAGTTTACGGCATTAACAGCTTTAATTTTAGGTAAGTATAAAGAAGCTGGGCCAGGCGCAGTGGCTCACGCCTGTAATCCCAGCACTTTGGGAGGCCGAAGTGGATGGATCACCTGAGGTCAGGAGCTTGCGACCAGCTTGATCAACATGGTGAAAACCCACCTCTACTAAAAATACAAAATAATAGCTAGGTGTGGTGGTGGGTGCCTGTAGTCCCAGCTACTCAGGAGGCTGAGGCAGGAGGATCACTTGAACCTGGAGGCGGAGGTTTCAGTGAGCCGAGATCATGCTATTGCACTCCAGCCTAGGCGATAAGAACAAAACTGTCTCCAAAAAAAAAAAAAAAAAAAAAAAAAAAAGAAGCTGCCACTTTCCCAGTTTACCTCTTTTAGGTACCAACATTTTAGAGGTATATTGGGTGACAATTTCAATATCCTCCCATAACCTACCCTGGCCTTGTTGAACTGGGAGAGAGATCCAGAGAGAGAAGAGTAACAGACATAACACGCATATAGTCAGGGCAGAGGTATGCTATCTAGCTTTCCCTTCTTAGCATCCAGGGTAAACAGCAAACTGTTCCTTATTCTGTTTGTCCTGGTAAGAGCAAAGCCCATTCCATCTAAGAAAAGTCTCTGCTGGCAGTACTGGCTTATAATTTTAAAGAAGAAAAAAAAAAGTGAAGTAATAGTTTCTTCTTAAATCGTTAAGGGAGAAAGAAGGAAAATATAGAAGTAAATAAAATAGTTCATAGTACTGCATGCAGATACAAAACACATTACTCTTCAGTTAACAACAATAGCTATATACATTCCTGTTCATATTTGTGAACATTACTCACTTTTAAAGGCCCTGTAACCTTTTCTGGCATTAAAAGATAATGGCTATGATAGAGATAATTTATTTTGCAGATACTATGAAAAATTAAAAGTTGTCACCTTACTATGAATACTTTGAATTTCAAATTTTTCTACTTCCCAAATGACTGGAAATAGAAAACATGAAACAGATTAGCTGATGATTACACCATTTCATTTTGATTGGTTAAGACTAAATGATAGGATTGAACTCCCTAATACTGAGAGTCCCAAAAGTGCAGAAAACATTAGAATTAAAAAAATTATTTTTCACTCACTGGGTGGTCTGTTTGCTGCCAAATTTTTGAAGTGGCTGCCTTTTATCACTTCTGCTGATAGTCTTCCAGTTGTGGCATTATAAAGCAGGCCAATAAGAATTTCTGGAACTGAGCCATGTTCAAGAGACTGACATGAGGATGTACTTTCACTACACGACATTTCTGACACGCTCATTTGGGAGTCACAGCCCTGTAATCAATAATAACATTTTTATAGTATTTTGCAAGAGAGATATATTAAGAGATATATTGTTATGCCATGTTTATTTGGATTAGGTAGGTAAATCACAATAAAGATGAGTTGCAAACCAAACACCAGATTAGAATTATTGTCCTTAGCATATTTTAGCCCCTGGATTTCTTTTCATTATGTAAAAGCCAAAGAAGTAATAGGAAATGAGAAGATTTCATAAATCCCTGCATATTTATAAGGAAATAAGAGCAATGTTGCTTAAACTTATAGATGCTAATAAACTGTTTTTTGAATATGAGAAATTATTGTTTAAAGATTATCAACCTTAAAAGACTGACAAAGATTTAGACTCAATACATCAAATGTCCTAACTGTGCCTTTAAATAAACAAAACAAAACTACCTGCTATTTATAAGCCAACATCTAAAACACAGAGATATAGAAAAGTTGAAAAACATGGGAAAAATTAATCATGTAAAAAATAATCAAACAAATTGATGTAGTTACATTAGTATCAGTCAGGGTTGGCTTTAAGGCAATAATCACCACTAGAGATTGAAGAAGTATACAAAATGATGATAAAACATTGAAATTACTAAAAACTAAAATAATCCCAAATTTGGATGCATTTAATAACATGGACTCAAAATACAGAAAGCAAAAATGGCCAGAACTAGAAAGAGAAACACAGACATCCATAATCACTGGGTACATAAGCACACTTCCCTCATTAACTGACCAAATTCAGTAACTGACCAAATGGGTGGACAAATAAGTACCATAAGGATGTAGAAGACTTGAATATCACAATAAGCAAAATTGACCTAATGGTCATATGCAGAATATTATACCTAATAACTACAAAATATAATTTTCCCAAGTACACAGAATTTTTAAATTAAAGCAAATAATAATTTCAAATGATGAAAATTATTCATAATGTTTTTTGATTGATTAGAAAACCAAACTCTGTTCTAGAGGAGAATAAAATATCTATATTTTTTGGAAATTAAAGGTATACTTTTAGTAACCCATAGGTAACTAAATGATAATAAAAATAAGTGATTTGAAAGACTAATAAAATGAATAAATTTCTGGAGAGTCCAATTAAGAAAAAAGGGACGAATAACAATGATCAGGAATGAAAAAGGAGACATCACTACATATTCTAGAGACCATGAAAAAATAATAGGATAGGATACTAGAAGAAAGTTGTTTCTTCTAGTAAATTTGAAATTTGAATGAAATATACCAGCGATCTCCAACCTTTTTGGCACCAGCGACCAGTTTCCTGGAAGACAATTTTTCCATGGACAGGATGTAGAGGGTAATCTAATGCTGCCACTGATCTGACAGGAGGCCGAGCTCAGGCTGTAATGTTCGCTAGCCCACTGCTGCTCACCTCCTGCTGTGCGGCGCCCATTCCTAACAGGC